>NC_000015.10:90835217-90986732 GCF_000001405.40 Homo sapiens
TCAAGCAATTCTCTGCCTCAGCCTCCCGAGTAGCTGGGATTACAGGCACCCGCCACCACGCCCAGCTAATTTTTGTATTTTTAGTAGAGACGGGGTTTCACCATCTTGGCCAGGCTGGGCTTGAACTCCTGACCTTATGATCCACCCTCCTCAGCCTCCCAAAGTGCTGGGATTACAGGTGCAAGCCAATGCACCCGGCCTGAAGATATCATTCTAATGGGAGGAGTTTGTTACTTCCTTCTTTGTACTTTTCTGAATTGCTTGTTTTGTTTGAGAGTTAGCATATATCTTTTTTTTTTTTTTTTTTTGAGACAGAGTCTCTCTCTGTCGCCCAGGCTGGAGTGTGGTGGCATGATCTCGGCTCACTGCAACCTCCACCTCCCAGGTTCAAGCAATTCTCCTGCCTCAGGTGCCTGAGTAGCTGGGATTACAGGTGCACGCCACCACGCCTAGACAATTTTTTTGTGTGTGTATTTTTAGTAGAGACAGGGTTTCATCATGTTGGCCAGGCTGGTTTCAAACTCCTGACCTCAAGTGATCCACCTGCCTCGGTCTCCCAAAGTGCTAGGATTACAGGCGTGAGCCACTGCACCCAGCCAGCATACATCTTTTTTTTTCTTTTCCTGAGATGGACTCTTACTCTGTCGCCCAGGCTGGAGTGCAGTGGTGTGATCTTGGCTCACTGTAACCTCCGCCTCCTGGGTTCAAGCAATTCTCCTGCCTCAGCCTCCCAAGTAGCTGAGATTATAGGCACGCGCCACCATGCCTGGCTGATTTTTGCATTTTTAGTAGAGACAGCATGCGCCACCGTGCCAGGCCATATATCATTTTTATAAAAACAAAGGCCGGGCGCGGTGGCTCCTGCCTGTAATCCCAGCACTTTGGGAGGCCTAGGCAGGTGGATCACCTGAAGTCAGGAGTTTGAGACCAGCCTGACCAACGTGAGGAAACCCTGTCTCTACTAAAAATACAAAAATTAACCAGGCGTGGTGGTGGGCGCCTGTAATCCCAACTACTTGGGAAGCTGAGGCAGGAGAATCACTTGAACCCAGGAGGTGTAGGAGGTTGCAGTGAGCCGACATCATGCCATGGCACTCCAGCCTGGGTGATGGAACAAGATTCCATCTCAAAAAAAAAAAAAAAAAAGAAAAAAGAAAACAATTTACCTTCACACACACATAAAACACATCCACGGAGGATGATTCTTCTGAACAGCTGGAGTTGGGAAGCACTACATTTGAAGCTGGATGAGTCATTGACACTCTTGTGTAAACAGGGTTTTCAGGAAGACAGCGTGGGGACCCAGAGTCTCTGGAGGTCCCAGCTAAAGATAAGATTCCCTGCGGAGCAGCTGACCCTGGGAAGAGCTGAAAAGGGAAGCTGGTTCCCCTGGGTTTTTAGGCTCTCTTGGAAGGAACAACCATCCAGGCTATCTCATGAGGCGCTCTTGCCAGAGATGCTTGTCCCAGTCCTGATCCTAAGCCCCTGCCTCGTTGGCATTGGTGAGCCCCGTAAGCCCCATCCACTTCCTCCCCCTCATCACCCACCTATCTCTTAAGCAGGGCCCTGACTCCTGCCCCGTCCACTGTGCCCTCACTCTGGCCACACAGGCCTGCCCACTGCCTATTTTTTTTTTTTTTTTGAGACAGAGTCTCACCCTGTCACCTAGGCTGGAGTGCAGTGGCACGATCTCTGCTCACTGCAACCTCTGCCTCCCAAGTTCAAGTGATTCTCCTGCCTCAGCCTTCCGAGTAACTGGGACTATAGGTGTGTGCCACCATGCCTGGCTAATTTTTGTATTTTAGTACAGACGGGGCTTCACCATGTTGGCCATGCTGGTCTCGAACTCCTGACCTCAAGTGATCTGCCGCCTCGGCCTCACAGAATGCTGAGTTACAGGCGTGAGCCACCACACCCAGCCGACCACTGCTTGGCTTTTGCAGGTGCTTTTACCTCCACCAGAATCTCCTCCTCGCCCCTAGGCTTCGAGGCCTCCTTTTCTGGAAGGCTTCCGTGACAGTCCAGACCACCTGGCTCTGCCTTGTTCCAGTGACTCAGAGGCTCAGAGCCGGCGAAGCCTTGGGGCCTTGCACCCGGGAGGCAGGAAGGCACACGGGCCCTGCCTACTGGGTGACCTTGGCCAAGTCCTTTGCCCTGGATGACTCTCTTTCCTCATCGGAAAGATAGGGGCATCATGAGCTGCTTGATAGGAATCAAGAAGATAACGTGTGAAATGTTAGCTATTTTTAGTTTCAGGTTTGTTGGAAAGAATGACAATGAGACGAGCTTACAGGAAGGGGGAATGAAAGGGGGAAATCAAGTCAGTAAGGGAAGAATGTGATAAAAAGCTTAAATGGAAATTTAAAAAACCTAACTTTTCTGGGAGGACGGAGGCTCCTTGTGGAGCCAGTTGAGGGTCTGTGGGGGTCATGGGGGCACCGTCAGACACTGTGGGAGATGCTGGACAGGGCTGGGTCCAGGCCTCCAGGCCCAGTGGGACCTCCCTTCTCAGCCCCCTTCTCTCTTTTTTTTTCCTTTGAGACGGAGTCTCACTCTGTCACCCAGGCTGGAGTGCAATGGCACAATCTCGGCTCACTACAACCTCCACCTCCCAGGTTCAAGCGCTTCTCCTGCCTCAGCCTCCCAAATAGCCAGGACTACAGGCATGTGCCACCACGCCCGGCTAATTTTTGTATTTTTAGTAGAGATGGGGTTTCACCATGTTGGTCAGGCTGGTCTTGAACTCCTGACCTCAGGTGATCTGCCCGCCTCGGCCTCCCAAAGTGCTGGGATTGCAGGCATGAGCCACCGCGCCCGGTTCAGCCCCCTTCTCTTTCAGCTCAGGCCCCCCTGCCCCTGCAGAGCCTTGGGAAGTGTCACCCCACACCAACTCCACCAGCTCCTACGAAAGCACCCCCAAATCATACCCTCTAGGCACCGCAGCAAAAGCAGCTTCAGGGCAATCCCCCAGCACAACCTCACCCCTTCCTGAGACTGGTGGGTGAGCTGAGGTCACCCGCCGCTGCCAGCAGGGCTGGGTAAATCTCGGAGCAGGCGGGGGCGAGGGCGGGGGCTGTCACCGCGGTGTTGCCTGACGCACCCTCCTCCCCAGCTCAGGAAATTGTGAGGTGAACTCTTCCCCTCCAGAGCGCTGTCTGCTGTGAAGGCGGCTCAGGCCCCCAACACACACATAGCAGGTGACAGGTAGGGCCCAAGCACTGGAGTCCCCGCTCCTCCCTGAAGACCTATCAGGGCATCTCTGGGACTGTGTTCCTGCTCTCCCTGCTCTGCACGCTCCCCCACCCTACAGTTCCCACGGGGCCAAACTTCGGTCAGAATCACCTTTATTGCACAGCCGCTCTGTACGCCAGGGGCTCATCACACATACAAGGTCGGTGGATTGTCCCCATCTTACAGATGAGGGAGCGGAGGCAGGGCGTGCAGAAGGGGCCACTCGTGGCCACGGAGCGGGGACTGGCAGGCCCATTGTCGTCAGCGGACTCCTCAGCCCCAGTGCCAGGCAAGGACTAGAGCCATGGAAAGCAGGGACGCTGAGTCCCTGGGGCGTTTGGGGCATCCCCAGCTGACGCATTTGTTGCAGCCTCTAGGGGCATGGAATAGGCAAAGTGCCCACATGGGGGTGCAAGAACTGATGCCCCCACCCCCCACTTTGTGAGTACACCCCATGGAACCTCGTTCTTTTTTTGAGACAGAGCCTCACTTTGTTACCCAGGCTGGAGTGCAGTGGCATGATCTTGGCTCACTGCAACCTCCGCCTCCTGGGTCCAAGCGATTCTCCTGCCTCAGCCTCCCAGGTAGCTGGGATTACAGGCATGCACCACCACGCCCAGCTAATTTTTGTATTTTTCGTAGAGATGGGGTTTCTCCGTGTTGGCCAGGCTGGTCTCAAACTCTTGACCTCAGGTGATCTGCCTGCCTCAGCTTCCCCAAGTGCTGGGATTACAGACATGAGCCACTGCACCCAGCCCCAAACCTCATTCTTTTTATGGGGTCATTCTTTGTATGGACGTCCAGAATCACCAATCCCCTACTGTTGGACATGCAGGTTATTTCTAGTCTTTTGCTAAGACAAGCAGTGTTGTGATGACTACACTATCCTACATCCCTTGGCATGTGGGTGTGTGTAGGATAAATGTTCTGGGCACCAGGCTCCAGCAGGCCCCACGAACAGGACTCTGGGCCTTATGCCAGGAGGGGGAAGATTCAAAGAGGGCCCCTCACCTGGGTCTGACCCAAACCCACACCAAAGCCAGCAGGTCATCCAGAGCTGATTCCCTGGGAAGCCTGCCCAGGAACCACCGTCCGTCGGGCTTTCTTATTGTAAGAGCTTTTTTTTTTTTTTCCTCCTTTGGCAGAGCACAGCGCTGGGCTCCAGCCCTGATGCAGAGGTACAAAGCTCGTCTGGGCAGATTGTTATGCAAATCAAAAGAGGAAGCAGAGCTAGGGGAGCCGAGGAGCTCCTGCTGGGCTCTGCCAGGGAAGAAGCCGCAGTAGGAGCCCCTACGTAGGCCCTGCAAGAGGCCTGGCGTTCAGGAAAGGGCCCGCTGACCATCCAGTGCAGGGAAAGGAGTCCAGCTCTGGCCTCTGCCCCTCAGCTCCACCTCCTGCATTCCTAGGAGTTCTCCAGAGGATCTGATGGGAGCTCAGAACCGGTCCCAACAGGTACTGTGACGCGATGGCCATTTTCCTTCCCTTTACCACTGTGCCCCCCTCCCCCCACTGCAGGGACGTCCCCTGGGGCGTCTCTGTGCCCATGCCCCATTGGGCGCCTCCTCTCAGCCCAGCCCCCTCCACACTGTATTGTCTCCTTAGCCGTGAGCTCCATGAGAGCAGGGTGTGCCCAGGTCACTGTTGTCTCCCCAGTGCCCGGCACAGTGCCTGGCACATCATAGATGCCCCGTGCTCCTACACCAACGAACTCCCCTGACAGCACCACATCCACGGGGAGCTAGGCCTCAGGGAACAAAGTGGTGCCTGGCTGAGGCACCCACGCAGGGCCTGTTCTTTTGTTTGAGACGGAGTCTCACTCGTTACCCAGCCCAGATTGCAGTGGCGCAATCTCGGCTCACTGCAACCTCCACCTCCTGGGTTCAAATGATTCTCCTGCCTCAGCCTCCTGAGTAGTTGCGATTATAGGCGTGCACCACCATGCCCGACTAATTTTTGTATTTTTAGTAGAGACGGCTTCACATGTTGGCCAGGCAAGTCTCAAACTCCTGACCTCAGGTGATCCACCCACCTTGGCCTCCCAAAGTGCTGGAATTACAGGTGTGAGCCACCGTGCCTGGCTCGGACTTGTTCTTGAGGATGACGGAACGGGGGTTTTGCTGTTAGGCCAGCCAACAAAATGGACAAGAAAGACGGGGGAGAGAAGTGAGATCCTTCCCGCCAGAGCCTGAGGCTAATGCAGGCCGTGCTGGGCCTCATGCTCCAGGCCAGCCTGGAAGAGCCCAAAGCCAGTTTCCTTCCAATGCTGCATATATTACCCAGCATTCTTAGATGGAAAGTCCAGTTTCTTTTGCTTTTTTTGTGTATGCACTTCAGGAATTTTTTAAGCTAATTGACTGAAGGGCTCATGTGCCTAGGAATAGCAATCCTAATAAGCTTTTGCGGAATCTCCCTGGTTTCAGACCAAGGCTGTGAATGTCCCAACTCACTTCTGTTCTTGGTGAGTTTTGCTTGTGTTTGTGAACGAGGTGAATTCATTAAACACAGCAGTGGCCCCTGCCCAGTGCTGGCTCCCTACAATGACCACTTCAATTGCACTGACCCAGATGCAATGGATTCCACCGCAGAAGTGCATTTAACTCAAATGCAAACATAACTGGAAGGTGACACAAGTCCTGAAATCCCTGGTTGTGCAGACTCATCAGTGCCTAGCCACTGGTCACTAGCATGTTTTCATTTTTCTCCAGCTCCCTCCACCCTTCATGAACGGGGGCTGGAAAATGTGGTCTGCTCTGATAAGGATTTGCGTCAGGCTACTGGCTACTCAGCAGCCGAGAAGAGCAAGCCTCCAGGCCTCTGCACGCGTGCCTTCTGCCCGGTGAGCCTCTCACTATCGTCCTTCTAAAAGACACTTCAAAAAGAGGCAAAATCATGCCTTCCATACATATATTAAAAAAAGAATATGTGTCAAATATTTTATTCTACTCCTAAACCAATTTAAGGAAACCAGGCAGATGTTACAACTGGTTCAAATGAAATCCTAAGAACAGACACATTTAATAATCAGGAATATGGAAAAGAACATGCAAATGGGAGCTGGGCACAGCGGCTCATGCCTGTAATTCCAGCACTTTGGGAGGCCGAGGTGGGTGGATCACCTGAGGTCAGGAGTTCGAGACCAGCCTGGCCAACATGGTAAAACCCCGTCTCCACCAAAAAAAAAAAAAAAAAAAAAAAAATTAGCTGGGCATGGTGGCACATGCCTGTAATCCCAGCTACTCAGTAGGCTGAGGCAGGAGAATCGCTTGAGCCTGGGAGGTGGAGGTTGCAGTGAGCCAAGATTGCACTATTGCATTCCAGCCTAGGCAACAAAAGCAAAACTCCATCTCAAAAAACAACAACAACAACAACAAAAACACGCAAATGGGGGCAAAGCTAGGGAGGGGAGAGTCAACTGGTCTCCTACTGGAGTTTGGAATCTGCAGGTCTGTAGAGAAGCAAAATTTTGCATTGCTATCACTAACCTACAAGTTAAAGAGTTGTAAGTAGTCTTCATAGAATGGAGTCAGATAATCCAAGGGAGGTCCTGGAGAGTCTAGATAATGCACAGTTTTTCAAAGATGTACAACTGTTTTCAAAGATGTACAAATATGTACAACTCTGACCACTGATGTCCTTCACCTGGCCAACTTAACCCACACCTCCTCCAGGAAGCCATCCCTGATGCCCAAGACTGGGTTAAGTGCCAGCCCCTGGGCTCCCTCAGTGCCTTGAATTTCTGATCACACTGTTCCGTCTCCCTCATCAGATCTATGAGATTTTTTTTTTTTTTAAGACAGAGTCTCACTGTGTCACCCAGGCTGGAGTGCAGTGGCACAGTCATAGCTCACTACAGCCTCAAACTCCTGGGCTCAAGGGATCTTTAGCCTCCCCAGTAGCTGGGACTACAAGTGTATGCCACCATGCCCAGCTAATTTTTAAGTTGTCAAGACAAGGTCTTGCTTTGTTACCCAGGCTGGTCTCGAACTCCTGGGCTCAAGCAATTTGCCTGCCTCGGCCTCCCAAAGTGCTGGGATTACAGGTGTGAGCCACTGTGCCTGGCCTGATCTATGAGATCCTTAAAACAGAAGCTGTGTCTTACCCACCTCTCACTGTGCCTTTGAGAATCAAGGGACACGTGGTTGAATGAATGAATGAATGAATGAGAGAAAAAATGAACAATACAGGGTCCTAAGCCAAAGTGGTCCACAGGGCCCCCATAAACCCGTAAAAGACTGACGAGACAGCTGTTGAAGGTCTGCATGTGTACCTGTGAACACAGACAGGCTTCAATCTCAATCTTAATAAGGGCTCCTCAGAAATGAAGCTCAGGAAGCAAACAAACATGGGAAATGATGGCTAAACACAAACAGGTGGGTTTTGCTTTTATTTCCTTTTAACCATAGGACTCCTGAGTCCTTGTAATATATAGTAAAGAGTCTTGCTCTGTTGCCCAGGCTGGAGTGCAGTGGCACAATCACAGCTCACTGCAGCCTCGAACTCCTGGGCTCGAGCCATCCTCCTGCTTCAGGCTCCTGAGTAGCTGCGACTACAGGTGTGCACCACCACACCCAGCTAATTTTTAAAAAATTCTTTTAAGAGACAAGATCTCACTATGTTGCCCAAGCTGGTCTCAAACTCCTGGGCACAAGCAATCCTCCCACCTCAGCCTCCCGAGTAGCTGGGACCACAGACACACGCCACCATGCCTGGCTAATTTTTGTATTTTTTGTTGAGACAGGGTCTCTCTATGTTGCACAGGCTAGTCTCGAACTCCTGGGTTCAAGCGATCCTCCTGCCTCATCCTCCCAAAGTGCCGGGATTACAGGCGTGAGCCACTGTGCCCAGGCTAACAGCCTTTAATATATTAAAGTACCCCAGGAGGGAGAATGCAATGTTTCCATGTTTTCCTTATCTGACTATAAAACAATTTTTTTAATGGACCAGAGACGATGGATTCATGGAGTTACTGTGAGGAAGACACTCAGCATCGTGCCTGGTATCGTGTGTGCTTCATAAACGCCAGCCATAGCATGATTCTTTATAAAGGCACCAGCTGCATTTATGGAGTAAATGCCTTTCTTGTGTCATCTCGCTTGACTGGCAAAGCCATAAGGCCAGGTGAGGAAGATGAGGCAGGGGATGAAGAGGATATAACACGTAGGAGGTGAAGTCACTAACCCAAATCCTTGCAGCCGGCAAGTGGTCAGAATTCTTGGACCAGGTGTGAGGCCTTAAGAGAACAAGCTAGCCCAGGGCTTGGCATGAAGTAGGTGCTTAATAAAGATTGGTTTTAGCCAGGCGCAGTGGCTCATGCCTGTAATCTCAGCACTTTGGGAGGCTGAAGCAGGAGGATCACTTGAGCCCAGGAGTTCCAGACCAGCCTGGGCAACACGGCTAATCCCTGTCTCTACTAAAAATACAAAAAGATTAGTCGGGTGTGGTGGCGCGTGCCTGTAATCCCAGCTACTCGGGAGGCTGAGGCAGGAGAATAGCTTGAACCTGGGAGGTAGACTTTGCAATGAGCCAAGATCGCACCACTGCACTCCAGCCGGGGCAACAGAGCAAGACTGTCTCAAAAAAAAAAAAAAAAAAAAAAAAAAAAAGACTGGTTTCTACCATGCCTCCCTCCTCCCTCCTTCCCATTCAGCCCAGAGGTTCTGGCAGGGCAGACAGAGCTCCAGGCCAAGGACCCCCAGGTGGATGTACAGAGCAGACCCAGGCTGAGCCCAATCTTTCCACCCTGCAGTTCAGCTCCTCCCTCCCCTTTCTCTTCCCAGTCTTCCTGAACCTGCACCTGGCCTCTCTGCACACCCCCGCGTTATTTGGGGATGTAAGAACTCAGGGTTCCCTCCCTTATTACTTCTCCTTGTCCATCCTGGTGATAGTGCTTGACTCTCAACACACAAAAGGGGCTTTAAAATGATCCTTTGAAAAAATAATTTTTTTGCTGGGCACAGTGGCTCACGCCTGTAATCCCAGCTCTTTGGGAGGCCAAGACAGGCGGATCACCTGAGGTTGGGAGTTCAAGACCAGCCTGATCAACATGGAGAAACCCCGTCTCTACTAAAAATACAAAATTAGCTGAGCGTGGTGGTGCAGCTCTTCGGGAGGCTGAGGCAGGAGAATCGCTTGAACCCAGGAGGCGGAGGTTGCAGTGAGCCGAGATCATGCCATTGTACTCCAGCCTGGGCAACAAGAGTGAAACTCTGTCTCAAAAAAAAAAAAAAAAAAGAAAGAAAAAAAAGAAAAAATAATTCTTTAAAACTCTTTTTTAGAGACAGGGTCTCACTCCATCACCCAGGCTGGATGTCATCATAGTTCACTGTAACCTTGAACTTCTGGGCTCAAGCAATTCTCCAGCCTCAGACTCCTGAGTAGCTGGGACCACAGGCGCATACCACCACGCCTGGCTAAAACTGGTTCCTTTTTTTTTTTTTTGAGACAGTGCCTTGTCCTGTCCCCCGGGCTGCAGTGCAATGGCACAAACACTGCCCACTGCAGCCTTGACCTCCTGGGCTCAAGCGATCTTCCCCTACAGCCTCCTGAGTAGCTGGCACCACAGGCACGTGCCACCATGCCTGGCCAAATTTTTTTTTTTTTTTTGTAGGGATGGAGTCTCACTATGTTGCCCAAGCTGGTCTCAATCTCCTGGGCTCAAGCCATCCTCCTGCCTTGGCCTCCCAAAGTGCTGGGATTAAAGGCATGAGCCACCGTGCCCAGCCTAAAAATGGTCTTGATTCAATGAGTGAGTAAATGAAGCCTGTGCCCAGGGCCTGCCAGGCCCCCTGGGGCTGCCCACAGGGTAAACACAGACCCACACGGAGCCCCACTCCAGGCCTGGTCGAAAAAAATGCTGCTCCAGCTGAAGGCTTTCTCAGAGAAATGACTCAGCCTGAGCACTCAGATGCAACTTCCACGTTTTATGGACTGAAGGTGCTTTCATAACAGCTGGTGATGATGAGCCAGAGGCGGGCTATAAACAGAGCGGTGATCTGGTCCTGAACACTCAGGTCTCAGCCCCCACCCACAAGCAGGGCCTCTGAGGCTGTGGCTTCTCCACACTGGTGCTGCTTTGTGCTGGCAAATAGCACAGGCCCCCAAAATGACCTGGAGGCTCCTTAACTGAGGAGGCAGATGAGTGACAGGGCCAGACCTGCAGCCTCAAGGGCCTGGCTGTGCCCTCCCTAGCTCCCTTGGGCCTGGGAGCCTTCCATGAACCTGTGGCCTGGGACCAAGAGCATGGGGGGCCTAGTGATGTGCCTGGTGGGGAGCGGGGAGTGCTGCCAGCAATGACAGTCCCGCTGGGGGGACGTGGTACAGACTCACTGAGACACAGAACCCTGTGAGCAAGGGGGGTTCACTTAATCCTCCCTGAGGACTCAGACAGGTGGGCTGCAGGCAGTGGGGTAGCCTTGCCTCTCACTCATGCCCACCCACCCATTTGCTCATTCATTCAGACAAGCGTGGATTGAGTATTTTCTTTTTTTTTCTTTTAAAGACAGGGTTTTGCTCTGTCGCTCAGGCTGAAGTGCAGTGGCATGATCTCAGCTCACTACAGCCTCATCCTCCCAGGCTCAACCGATCCTCCTGCCTCGGCCTCTCAAAGTATTGGGATTACAGGCGTGGCCCACGCCTGGTGAATTGAGCACTTTCTTTCTTTTTCTTTTTTTTTTTTTTTTTTTTGAGATGGAGTCTCACTCTGTCATCCAGGCTGGAGTGCAGTGGCATGACCTCGGCTCACTGCAACTTCTGCCTCCCGGGTTCAAGTGATTCTCCTGCCTCAGTCTCCCAAGTAGCTGGGATTACAGGCACCCACCACCACGCCCGGCTAGTTTTGTATTTTTAGTAGAGATGGGGTTTTACCATGTTGGCCAGGCTGTTCTTGAACTCCTGACCTCAGGTGATCCATCCGCCTCGGCCTCCCAAAGTGTTAGGATTACAGGCGTGGGCCACTGCGCCTGGCAAATTGAGCACTTTCTTTTTTTTTTTTTGAGACCGGGTCTTGCTCTGTCACCAGGCTGGAGTGCAGTGGCCCAATCTCAGCTCACTGCAACCTCCACCTCCCAGGTTCAAGCGATTATCCTGCCTCAGCCTCCAAGTAGCTGGGATTACAGGCACGCGCCATCACGCCCGGCTAATTTTTTGTATTTTAGTAGAGACAGGGTTTCACCGTGTTAGCCAAGATGGTCTCGATCTCCTAACCTCATGATCCACCCACCTTGGCCTCCCAAAGTGCTGGGATTACAGATGTGAGCCACCGTGCCCTGCCAAATCGAGCACTTTCTAAGTGCCCACCTGTCAGCGTCACCCCAGGCTTTCCCATCTCAGCCCGTGGCTCCACTCTCCTCTAGCTACTTTGGCCAAAAACCACAGAGTCATCTTGGATCCCAATTTTTGCTTCACCCCCACATCCAATCTTTCGGCGAGTCCCGTCTGCTTTACCTCGGCACATCATCAGTGCGCTCAGTGCACTTCCCAGCCACCTCCCACGCTGGGCTGCTAACCTTCTGCCAGGTCACCATAGCTACCACCAGCTCCTCCTGACCCTTTGGCCTTGGTCTCTAAAACCCATTCTCCTCTCATCAGAGTGACCTCATCCCAGCATCATTCTGACCATTTCTCATCTTAAAGTCCTCAAAAGGGTCCTATCAGATATTAACAATTTTTAAAGAAATTAAGACAGAATGGCTTTGGCATCTGGCTATTAAAAAAAAAGGGTAGGGGGGGCCGAGTGCGGTGGCTCATGCTTGTAAACCCAGAACTTTGGGAGGCCAAGGTGGGAGGGTCCCTTGAGCCCAGGAGTTCGAGACCAGCCTGGGCAACACAGAGAGACCCTGTCTTTACAAAAACAAAATTAGCTGGGTGTGGCGGCACATGCCTGTAGTCCTAGCTACTTGGGAGACTGAGGTGGCAGGATCACTTGAGCCTGGGAGGTTGAGGCCGCGGTGAGCTGAGATCATGCCACTGCACTCCGGCCTGGGTGACAGAGTGAGAGCCCATTTAAAAATGAAAAATAAAGGGAAAAAAAAGGACAGAACAGGAGTCCCGGAGACAGAACCTTGCATAAATGAGAATTTGCCGTATGACAGAGAAGCATCACCAACCAGTGGGGAAAAGATAGACTCTTTTATAAATGGCGTTGGGACAAGTGGTGATCCATATGGGAAAGTAAAATTAGATCCCCACCTAACACCACACACACAACTCCAGGTGGATTCAGGACTTACATGTGAATAACAAAATTTTAACACATTTAGAAGAAAATATAGAAGAATATTTTTATGACCTCAGGGTAAGGAACAATTTCTTTTTTAAATAAACTTTTTGTTTGATTACAACATGCATAGTGTACAAGTCATAAGGGTGCCGCTTGATGAAATTTCACAGTGACCCCAGCTGTGTAGCCAGCATCCAGATCAACAAGCGGGATGTAAGGCCAGGCACGGTGGCTCACTCCTGTAATCCCAACACTTTGGGAGGCCGAGGAGGGCGGATCAGAAGGTCAGGAGTTTGAGACCAGCCTGGCCAATATGGTGAAACCCCGTCTCAACTAAAAATACAAAAATTAGCCCGGCATGGTGGCACACACCTGTAGTCCCAGCTACTTGGGAGGCTGTGGCAGAAGAATCGCTTGAACCCTGGAGGCGGAGTTTGCAGTAACCCGAGATCGTGCCACTGCACTCCAGCCTGGCGAAAGGGCGAGAATCCGTCTAAAAAAAATAAAAATAAAAAACACAACAACAAATGGGACATAGCCAGTGCCTTCCAAAGCCCCCACGTGCCTCTTTTTTTCTTTCTTTTTTTTTTTTGTTTGAGACGGAGTCTTGCTCTGTTGCCCAGGCTGGAGTGCAGTGGCATGATCTCGGCTCACTGAAACCTCCGCCTCCTGGATTCAAGCAACTCTCCTGCCTCAGCCTCCTGAGTAGCTGGGACTACAGGCACACACCACCATTCCTGGCTAATTCTTTTTTTATTTTTAGTAGAGACGGGGTTTCACCAGTTGGCCAGGATGGTCTCGATCTCCTGACCTCATGATCCACCCGCCTCAGCCTCCCAAAATGCTGGGATTGCAGGTGTGAGCCACCACACTCAGCCTTCTTTTTTTTTTTTTTTTTTTTTTTTTGAGACGGAGTTTTGCTCTTGTTGCCCAGGTTGGAGTGCAATGGCACGGTCTCGGCTCACCGCAGCCTCCCCTTCCTGGGTTCAAGTGATTCTCCTGCCTCAGCCTCCCCAGTAGCTGGGATTACAGGCATCCGCCACCACACTCGGCTAATTTTTTTTTTTTTTCTTTAGTAGAGACAGGGTTTCTCCATGTTGGTCAGGCTGGTCTCAAACTCCCGATGCCAGGTGATCCTCCCGCCTCAGCCTCCCATAGTGTTGGGATTACAGGCGTGAGCCACCGTGCCCAGCCTTTTTTTTCTTTTCTTTTCTTTTTTTTGAGATGGAGTCTCACTCTGTTGCCCAGGCTGGAGTGCAATGCAATGGCGTGATCTCAGCTCACTACAACCTCTACCTCCCGGATTCAAGCGATTCTCCTGTCTCAGTCTCCCAAGTAGCTGGGATTACAGGTGTGTTCTACCACGCCCAGATAATTTTTGTATTTTTAGTAGAGACAGGGTTTCACCATGTTGGCCAGGCTGGTCTTGAACTCCTGACATCAAGTGATCCACCTGCCTCAGCCTCCCAGAGTGCTGAGATTACAGGTGTGAGCCACGGCACCCAGCTCCTCATGCCTTTTGACAGGAAAGAGTATCTTAGGCACAAAAGGTATCAGCTACAATGGAAAAAAATTGATGAGTCTGATGATATTGACATTTAAATCTTAAGTTCAACAAAAAAAAATGCCACAAGATTAAAGGATACGTACAGCTGAGCACCATGACTCGTATCTGTAATCCCAGCATTTTGGGAGACTGAGGCAGGCAGATTACTTGAGCTGAGGAGTTTGAGACCAGCCTGGGCAACATGGCAAAACTCTGTCTCTACAAAAAATACAAAAATTAGCCAGGTGTGGTGGCGTATGCCTGTAGTCCCAGTTACTTGGAAGGCTGAGGTGGGAGAATCACTGGAACCTGGGAGGCAGAGGTTGCAGTGAGCTGAGACTGGGCCACTGCACTCCAGCCTGAGTGACAGAGCAAGACCCTGTCTCAAAAATAAATAAATAAATAAATAAATAAATAAATAAATAACAGATATGCACAATATGGAGGAAATATCTGCAATATAATCAGCAAATTGGTATCCAGAATATGTAAAGGTCTTCTGCAAATCAAGAAGAGAGACAACCAACCCAACAGAAAATTTGGCACAGGTTATGAACCTTATAGGAAAAAAAAGCCTAGATGGCCAATAATCATATGAAAAAGAGGCTCTGGGCTGGGCATGGTGGTTCATGTCAATAATCCCAGCAATTTGGGAGGCCAAGGTGGGAGGATCACTTGAGTCCAGGAGCTGGAGAACAGACTGGGCAGCAAAGTGAGACCTCGTCTCTACAGAAAACAAAATAATTAGCCGGGCATGATGGTGCATGCCTGTAGTCCCAGCTACTCTGGAGGCTAAAGCAGGGGGATGGATTGAATCCAGCAGATGGAGGCTACAGTGACCTATGATCATGCCACTGCATTCCAGCTTGGGCAGCAGAGTGAGACCCTGCCTCAAAAACAGAAAAAGTCTCTGTCTCAATAGTATCAGAGACATGTAAATTTTTTTTTGAGATAGTCTCACCCTGTTGCCCAGGCTGGAGTGTACTGGTGCAGTCTCAGCTCACTGCAACCTCCACCTCCTGGGTTCAAGCAATTCTCCTGCCTCAGCCTCCCAAGTAGCTGGGATTACAGGTGTGCACCACCACGCCTGGCTAATTTTTGTATTTTTAGTAGAGACGAGGTTTTGCCATGTTGGCCAGGCTGGTCTCGAACTCCTGACCTCAAGTGATCCACCCACATTAGCCTCCCAAAGTGCTGGGATTACAGGCGTGAGCCACTGCGCCTGGCTGAGAAAGGTAAATTAAAACAACAAGGAGATATTATGTCTCACCCATCAGATAATTTAAAATGGAAGAAAACATAAAAGCTGATATTATTAAATGTAGACCCAAATGAGACTCCTTAAAAACACCAGCTCTGGGCTGGGCGCGGCGGCTCATGCCTGTAATCCCAACACTTTGGGAGGCCGATATGGGTGGATCACGAGGTCAGGAGATGGAGACCATCCTGGCTAACACCGTGAAACCACATCTCTCCTAAAACTACAAAAAATTAGCCCAGCATGGTGGCACGCACCTGTAGTCCCAGCTACTCGGGAGGCTGAGGCAGGAGAATCACTTAAACCGCAGAGGCAGAGGTTGCAGTGAGCCAAAATCACATCATTGCACTCCAGGCTGGGCAAAAGAGCAAGACTTCGTCTCAAACAAACAGACAAACAAATAAAAACCCACCAGCTCTGGAGAAGATTGGTAAAGCCACTTGGAAGTGACACAAAATGGCAGCTTGAAGGTCAGGTCAAGATCAGGGTGAAGGTGAGAACATCTGTGAGCATTCCTCTTCCAGGCAGAGACTCTACAGAAGCTCTATGAGCATCCCAGGAGGAAGAAATTGGAAACGTCATCAAGGAGATACACAAGGTATGATACACTCATACAATGGAAAATGGCCGGACAAATGAAAGAAACAACATCAAAGTGAATTATCATAAGATACACCAAGCAGGGCCAGGGTGGGGCCAGGTCCACCTCTCCTGTTGCCCAATCTTGAAGGTGGCAGAGGACCTTTGAGGCACCTTGCTGGCCCACTGAGGAGCTGTGGCCGAGGCACACGCCCATCAGGGCTGACTCCTTGCTGGGAACTGGGTCAGGTGGATGGACGTGGTGACGAGCAACAGTGAGGTTTCCCCCACATCCTTTCACCTGCCCTGCTGCGTCTGCTGCTGAGTCAGGATCCATCTGGGGAGCCACCGTGGGACACTCTCCCCTATGGGAGAGTGGTAAGGTTCTGGAGTAACACATGGGACTGGAAATGTTTCTGTGGCCATTTTTATTTTTATTTATTTTTTTAAGACAGAGTCTTGCTCTGTTGCTCAGGCTGGAGTGCAGTACTGTGATCTCAGCTCACTGCAACCTCTGCCTGTGGGAGTTCAAGCAATTCTTCTGTCTCAGCCTCCCAAGTAGCTGGGATTACAAGCACCCACCACCACGCCTGGCTAATTTGTGTATTTTTAGTAGAGATGGGGTTTCACCATGTTGGCTAGTCTGGTGTCAAACTCCCGACCTCAGGTGATCTGCCCATCTGAGACTCCCAAAGTGCTGGGATTACAGAGCTGAGTGACAGAGTGAGACTCTGTCAAAAAAAAAAAAAAAAAAAAAGAAAGGAAGGAAGAGAAATAGAAAGAAAGAAAGAAAAAGAAAGAAAGAAAGAAAAGAAAGAAAGAAAAGCTGGAATGAGTCAGGGCAGAATCATAGAATGTCTGGGTGTGAATCCTGGCTTCCCTCCTTTCCAGTGAAGCAACCTTGGGCGAGTGGCTTGACCACTCTGTGCCTGTTTCCTCACCTGTAGCAGTTAGGAATGCATTTGGCTGCAGGTAACTGCAGAGCTCCAACCTCCCGCAAAACAGCAGCTTTGTTCATTTCATCTTGAAAAGCTCAGCCATGTGCGGTTGCTGGTTTTGGTTCAGGAGGTCAGAGAGAGGATTCATCATCTTTGTCTTTTTTCTTAGAAAAACCTGTTTACCTGAAGACTTCCCCTCAATGTCACTGCCAAAGGGAAGCCTTGCAACCAGGCTGCCGGTTGCACGGATCCAACATTTGCTCTGTGGGTCTCAGCCTGGGTCAAACTCACACCTCTAAGGGATGTTTGGAAATGTGTGGAGTCATTTTGGGTTGTCACAATGATTTAGCTGCAATGCATAGAACAGTCTTATATGAAGAATTGTCCTGCCCTAGAAGAAAAAAAAATGTCCCACCCAAATGCCAAAATGTCTGTGCCCCACTGAAAAGCTCCAGCCTCCGTAAGTGGAGGCAGTGAGTAGGGAAGGGCTGAGACAGATGCAGGTCAGGCACCAGCCCTCACTCCTGCCACATCCAGCTTGTAGGGCTGTGCCAGGGAGCATGGGGATGTGCCCAGGCCAGCGCCTGGCATGAGCACATGTTGGGGTCCCCAAGGCGTGCCTAAGGGGCGCTTTGGCCAGAGCACTGTGGCAAGGTCTGAGACTGGCAAAGAATGACCCCGGGGACTGAGCAGTGGATGCAGGTGGAAACAGAGTGCCTCTGATTTTCCTCTGACCTTCTTGCCTCTCTTCAAAGCCTGCCTGGCCCTCGGAGGCTGCCCAGTGCATCATAGTACATCCCACGGTGGCTCCCCAGATGGATTCTGACTCAGCAGCAGACGCAGCAGGGCAGGCAAAAGGATGTGGGGGAAACCTCACTGTGGCTCATCACCACGTCCATCTGCCTCACCAAGTTCCCAGCAAGGAGTCGGCCCTGATGGGTGTATTCCTCAGCCACAGCTCCTCAGTGGGCCAGCAAGGTGACTCGAAGGGCCTCTGCCACCTCTAAGATTGGGGAACAGGAAAGATGGACCTGGCCCCACCCCAGCCTGCGGGTCACCACCCATGGCGGGACAAGTGAGAAAAGTTGGCCTTGCTCACCGCTGGAGCCCAAACCACAGGTTTCATTTCCCCTTGATAAAGACAATGTTTGCTATTGTTGCATCTGATGGTAAAAGCAAGTCATATTCACTATCAAAAAGTTTGAAAGGCGGCCGGGCACGGTGGCTCACACTTGTATTCCCAGCATTTTGGGAGGCCGAGGCAGGCGGATCACAAGGTCAAGAGATCGAGACCATCCTGTCCAACATGGTGAAACCCCATCTCTACTAAAAATACAAAAATTAGATGGGCATGGTGGCGTGCACCTGTAGTTCCAACTACTTGGGAGGCTGAGGCAAGAGAATCGCTTGAACCCGGGAGGCAGAGGTTGCTGTGAGCCCCAAGATTGCACCACTACACTCTAGCCTGGCAACAGAGCGAGACTCCGTCTCAAAAAACAAAAAAAAAAAGGAAAATAAGAATCCAGCCTCAAGCCTGTCACCCAGGAACAATCACTCTAGTTGGCTGGTGTATTTCCCTCCAGTCTTTTTTTCAGTGTATGTATATAAACTTTATTTATATATATTATTTTATAGCCAGCTGCTTTTTTTCTTTTAATTCTAAATGATGGGCTGTTTTTTGTTTTAAAACACTGTAGACCAGCCAAGTGTGGTGGCTCAAACCGGTAATCCCAGCACTTTTGGAGGCTGAGGTGGGCAGATCACTTGAGCCCAGGAATTCAAGACCAGCCTGGGCAACATGGCAAAACCATGTCTCTACCAAAAATAAAAAAATTAGCCAGGCATGGTTCCATGCACCTGTAGTCCCTGCAACTTGGGAGGCTGAGATGGGAGGATCACCTGAGCCCAGAGAGGTCGAGGCTACAGTGAGCCATGATCATGCCATCACACTCCAGCCTGGGTGACAAGAGTGAGACCCTGTCTCAAAAACAAACAAACAAACAAACAAAAAAAAACACAGGCTGGGCACAGTGGCTCATGCCTGTAATCCCAGCACTTCGGCAGGCCAAGGTAGGTGGATCACCTGAGGTCAGGAGCTCAAGACCAGCCTGGCCAACATGGCGAAACCCTGTCTCTACTAAAAATACAAAAATTAGCCGGGTGTGGTGGCACACGCCTGTAATCCCAGCTACTTGGGAGGCTGAGGCATGAGAATCGCTTGAACCCGGGAGGTGGAGCTTGCAGCGAGCTGAGATTGTGCCACTGCACTCCAGCCTGGGCGACAGAGCAAGACTGCATCTCAAAAGAACAAACAAAAACAAAAACCACTGTAGACCAAGCAAACTCAACTCTTCCTCCTCCCATGCAGTGCTCCCTCTGCCTGTTTCCCCACATCACCTGTGTGATGGGGAGTGGGGGGGCACACAGCGAGGCTGAGGACTCATGGAATGACCCTTGGGAAGCCAGAATGGGCACGGGTACACATTTCCAAGCAGGAGACTCACTGATCTACCCACCCCGGGTCCCCAACCACACTGGGAATCCCCTCCATGAACGGGAGGAGCCTCTATCACACACACACACACACACACACACACACACACACACACACACGGAGACCACAGAGAGAACATGGGCACCGTGGGCAACTGTTTGAAAATTTCTGAGCTGCTTCTCAGATAAAGAGAGCACTCTCATCTTCCTTGTCCTTCTCCAGAATCAGCAGAAATCAAGTTTCTCACCTTCCAAGCTCAGCCAAGAAATTTCAATTCCAGTGACGACAGAGCTGGTGTGGGGTGGATGGTTCCCATGGGAAGGTGTGGGTCACAGGCTGGGCTCTTAGTACTGGGAAAGTCCCTAGGCCAAGTCAGAATCCCAGGTGTCCTCCCTGAGCACCTGCTGTGTGCAGGATGCCATGCCAAACATTTTATGAATTAGTTCATCCCATTCTTGTGACACCTCAGCAGGGGAGGTATCAGTACCCCCATTTAATGGATGAAGAAATGGAGGCCCTGCAAAATTAAGCCACAGGCCAACTTCCTCATGGATGGATCAAGCATCTGAAGCCAAGAGAGTGGACATGGCCTGTCCAGACTGGGGACCAGCGCAAGGCAAGGTTTATCCTGCTGGGCCAGGCCCGGCTGCCTCTCTCAGAGGGCACTGGGGAGTTTGCCCTGGACACAGGCTAGGGGCAAAGGCTCACATGGACATGTCGAGTCAGCTGCCAGATCCTGGGCTCTAGGCCTCCCCAACATCTTCCCAATGCACCCAGCTGACTCCTGGAGTCCAGAAAGTCCAAACTGTAGAAGGTCACCCCAAGCGCCCTGGGACTTCGCACTCTGCGCTGGCTGACATGTGGGGCTGGAATGGCTTCTTCCACTGGGCGTGTATGTGGGCGTGGGAATGGACACATGTGCTCTGTCTCCCGGCCCAACTGTCCAGTCACAGGCGACAGCATCTGGGTCTGTGGCAAGTTCAGAGCTCCAGACCTGCCTTCCCCACTGATGCCCTGTGTGACCTGGACCCGGTCTCACTCCCTCCCTGAGTCCCAGTTGTTCTTCTCTTCTGTGGAATCCTAACCCTGTGATTCCTGAAGGGGAGGGACAGTAAAGACACATTTCTTTCTTTTCTTTTTCTTTTTAAGAGAGAAGATCTGGCGGCCGGGCGTGGTGGCTCATGCCTATAATCCCAGCACTTGGGGAGGCTGAAGCAGGTGGGTCACCTGAGGTCAGGAGTTTGAGACCAGCCTGACCAACATGGTGAAACTGTGTCTCTACTAAAAATACAAAAATCAGCCAGGTGTGGTGGCAGGCACCTGTAGTCCCAGCTACTTGAGAGATTGAGACAGGAGAATCACTAGAACCCGGGAGACGGAGGTTGCAGTGAGCCGAGATCGTGCCACTGTACTCCAGCCTGGGTGACAAAGAGAGACTCTCTCAAAAGAAAAAAAAAAGGAGAATCTGGCTATGTTGCACAGGCTGGAGTACAGTGGCTATTCACAGCACCATCCCACTACTGATCAATATAAGAGTTTTGACCTACTCTGTTTCCTACCTGAGCCAGTTTACCCTTCCTTAGAAAACCTGGTGGTCCCCATTCCTGGGAGGTCACCATATTGATGCTGAAGTTAGTGTGGACCAGCATAGTGCATTATAGCCCAGAACCCCTGGGCTCAAGCCATCCTCCCGCCTCAGCCTCCTGAGTAGCTGGGACTACAGGGGCATCAGGTGCATGCCACCACACCATTTCACCTCTTGTGCTAATTTTTTTTTTTTTTTTTGAGACGGAGTCTCACTCTGTTGCCCAGGTGGGAGGGGAGTGCAGTGGTGCGATCTCAGCGCACTACAACCTCTGACTCCCGTCATGTTCAAGGGATTCTCCTGCCTCAGCCTCCTGAGTAGCTGGGATCATGGGCATGTGCCACCACGCCCAGCTCCTTTTTGTATTTTCAGTAGAGATGGGGTTTCATCACGTTGGCCAGGCTGGTCTTGAACTCCTGACCTCAAGTGATCTGCCCGCCTCAGCCTCCCAAAGTGCTGGGATTACAGGCATGAGCCATGGCACCTGGCCTCGTGCTAATTCTGATAGATTGGCAGTGACTTTTTGGATCACTGTGGGGAGAAGGGCTCCGCAGCGGTATGGTGATAGATTGGCAATGTCAGTGTCTGCCATGGGCTAGGAGGCAGCAGTAGTGGCTTCTGTGCTGTGTGTTTGCTATAAATGTGAACCCCCAAACATCCTGTCCACATGGACCCTGAAGGATTTCCCCAAATGCTACCCATAGGTGATATGTCCTAGTAACCCATTTCTATGAAGACTGAGCCCTTGGAAATGCTGAGGCTGTTGAGGGGTTTTACATTGGTTCCTGCTTCTCACAGCCACTTCCTGTCCCAGATACCTGGCCCCAGTGTCTGCTCTGGGGTTTATCTGTGAGGTCACAACTGTTGTCTTAAGGCCTTTGATCCTGAGGATTCCTGTCACATAGAACAGCGTTCTCAGGCTGCCTCCTTTCCTGGCAGTGCCCCTGCTTCTAAATGCCCCCATTACCAAAACACACCCACTCTTGACCCAGTCAGGGGTGACATGCAAACTCAGACCTGGTTTATGTGGCTGCAATGTTGAATCACCTGACTTTCCAAACAGTGCATCTTAAAAGCAGACACTGGGCTGGGTGCGGTGGCTCACGCCTGTAATCCCAGCATTTTGGGAGGCTGAGGTGGGCGAATCGCTTGAGCCCAGGAATTCGAGACCCGCCTGAGCAACTTATCAAGACCCCATCTCTATTTTAAAAATAAATAAATAATTAATTAATTTAAAAATAAAAAAAAAAAGCAGACACTGAAGTCTCTGTAATGGCGAAGTTCCAGACATGTGCCAGGTGGATGGGGACACATCTGAGGATATAGGGACTGCCTGACATTCCTCAGATCATCCCGAACTGGTGTGCGTCCAGACTGGCTTCACCTCACCTTTGTCACTGTTTGCTAAGCCCTGAGCAGGTCTCTGCTGTATTTCCTCCTGGAGAGTCTTGTTTGGCTGTGATAGGCGATTCCGCTCCACCCTGTTTCCCAAGACTTCTGGGATGTAGGGCTCCCCACCCAGTGCTGAGGACCAAGGGAAAAGCCTGGTGCTCGAAGAGTCAGTCAGTGGTTCCAAAACTCCCAGACAATGGCTGCGGGGGAAGACAAAAAGTATTCCTCAGGATCCCAGAATTTTCCTGAAAGCAGGAAAATTGGAGGTCCCGTAATCCCACCTCTGCCCAGTGCACATATCCTTTCCACAGCCCCTCACCAAATGGCTCGCCAGCTTCCACTTGAATGCCTCCAGAGACGGGGAGCTCAGTTGGAAAGGATGGAGGTTATAGATATTGTGTGTTTCTTCGTGTTATTATGTAAACTCAAGTTTTCCAAAGTGAAATCATTCATTCCACAACTGTTGATGGAGCACCGACTAGGTTCCAGGCACTGTCTAGCCATCAGAGATATAGCAGTGAGAAAAACACAGAAATCCCTGCCCACCACATAGGCCTGACATTCCCATGGGGGAAGAAAGGCAATAAACAAGTGAGAGTACTGAGGACGTCCTGTGGCAAAAAGTGCTACGTAGAGAAATGACGTGAGGATGAGGGACGGGGAGTGCTATGTTTGCATTTCAACATCCTGCAGTCAGCAAAGGTGATAGTTGAGAAAAGTCCCAAAAGAGATGAGGGAGCTGGGACAAGCAGGTGTCATGGAAGAGAGGTCCAGGCAGAGGGGTGGCCAGTGCAAAGGCCCTGTGGCAGGAGCGTAGTGGGAGGGAGGGGGAAACAGCAGGAAGGCCAGTGTGGCTGAGCTGGATGTGCCAGGTGGTGGACCGTGGGAATGTATAATGAAGGCCGATGGAGCTTACCTAGAAATGTCTTTCATAACACAAGAAACTGGATTTTGCCTGGGTATGGTGGCTCATGCCTGTAATCCCAGCATTTTGGGAGGCTGAGGCAGGCAGATCACTAGGTCAGGAGTTCGAGACCAGCCTGGCCAACATGGTGAAACCCCATCTCTACTAAAAATACAAAAATTAGCTGGGCTTGGTGGCACTTGCCTGTAATCCCAGCTACTCAGGAGGCTGAGGCAGGAGAATCGCTTGAACCCATGAGGCAGAGCTGCAGTGGGCTGAGATCGTGCCACTGCACTCCAGCCTGGGTGACAGAGTAAGACTCTGTCTCAAAAAAACCAAAAAACAAATTATCCAGGCTTGGTGGCACATGCCTGTAATCCCAGCTACTTGGGAGGCTGAGGCAGGAGGATCGCTTGAACCTGGGAGGTGGAGGTTGCAGTCAGCTGAGATCGTGCCACTGCACTCCAGCCTGGGCAACAGAGTGAGACTCCAAAAAAAGAAAGATAGAAATGTCTTTCATAGGCCGGGCGCGGTGGCTCACGCCTGTAATCCCAGCACTTTGGGAGGCCGAGGCGGGCGGATCACGAGGTCAGGAGATCGAGACCATCCTGGCTAACACGGTGAAACCCCGTCTCTACTAAAAATACAAAAAATTAGCCGGGCGTGGTAGCGGGTGCCTGTAGTCCCAGCTACTCGGGAGGCTGAGGCAGGAGAATGGCGTGAACCCGGGAGGCGGAGCTTGCAGTGAGCCGAGATCGCGCCACTGCACTCCAGCCTGGGCGACAGAGCGAGATTCCGTCTCAAAAAAAAAAAAAAAAAAAAAAAAGAAATGTCTTTCATAATGTAAGAAACTAGATTTTTTTTTTTTGTAATAGGGAAGGGTTGAATTCTAGTAGAAGCTGAAACCCAGATAAAAAGATTGCGAATACCCAAATCCAATCATAGGGAGCCAAGTGAAGGCCATCCTGGGAGCCGCATGATGGCAGCACACAGCTGGAGCTCTAACAGTTCCTGGCACCTAGAGCCAAACGGACAGGGGAACTGGGTTTTCACAATCAATTGTATTGATCTAGGAAAACTGAAACCAAATTACTATGTGGGGCAAGAGGCTTACCGGAAAGTGCTGGGCTATCTGGTCCTGGTGGGGAGGAGGAAGGGTGCTTGTGTTCTCAGGCCTGGATCTGAGGAAGTGGGTGCAGAGATGCAATGGCACCATCCCTGGCTGCTGGCTTGGGTCTCTGTGTACCTTCTCTGGGGACCCTTACCAAGACAGGGGCTTTGGCAGGCCTGGAAGTACCTGTGCATTAGAGAGGGTTTGGGCATTTGTTGTGTAAATGCCTTAGTGTGAGTCAGTCCCCAGGAGCCTGGTTGGCCTCAGCTGCCCTGATCTTTGAGGGCCAGACTCCCACCCTGGAGCTGTTGTTAAGGAGGGTGGCAGCCAGGTCCCCACAGGACACCCCGGGTCATCGTTTTGGGGCTGGTACACTTAACACATCTGTTGCCCCAGCAGTATGGGAAGCTCAGACCTGTTCCATGACTTGGTAACTAAGCTTGGGCTGAGCCTCTGACTCCAGGCCTTCCTGGCCGCCCTATCTCACCCTTCTCATTAAACAAAGTTGGAGCTGCAGATTCCAGCTCCAACGGGGATTAACGACAGGCCCAGGACAGGGAAAGAACAAACGGCAGTGACAGGAGAGGAAGTGGGAGATGAAGTAAGACAGGACAGGATGGGAGGAGGGTGAAAGGCCAGAGGGAGATACTGGCCACAAGTCTGCACTTTCATCTTTTCTTTTTTTTTATTTTTATTTTTTTTGAGATGGAGTCTCACTCTCTTGCCCAGACTGGAGTGCAGTGGCTCCATCTCAGCTCACTGCAACCTCCGCCTCCTGGGTTCAAGTGATTCACCTGCCTCAGCCTCCCGAGTAGCTGGGATCACAGGCACATGCCATCACGCCAGGCTAATTTTTGTATTTTTAGTGGAGACGGGGTTTTGCCGTGTTGGCCAGGCTGGTCTCCAACTCCTGACCTCAGGTGATCTGCCTGCCTCGGCCTCCTGTAGTGCTGGGATTACAGGTGTGAGCCACCGCGCCCGGCATGTGCTTTCATCTTTTTAAAAAAATTTTTTATAGAGGAGTCATTATCATGCTTTCTTGCCCAGGCTGGTTTTGAAATCCTGACCTCAAGTCATCCTCCTGCTTCGGCCTCCCAAAGCACAGGGATTACAGGCAGAAGCCACCATGCCTGGCCCTGTGCTTTCATCTTGAACACTGCCCAGCTCCAGCCTAGGGTGACCAGCCAGGGACACCGCAGGAACATGCGGAACTCTTAGTCCTTCGCCAAGACCTGACAGAGTGGCATTGTTACAGTCCTGGACATAGATCGTTATCTTCCAAGTGGTATTTTTGGCGTGTGTGTATTTATTCACTTTGATATTGGGTGAGAGGAATCAGGGTCATAAGGCCAGGTTTGGTGCAATTTCTCCCAGGACTTCAGGGAGAGGGGCCCTTAGGAGTCCAGGTCTCAACAGGGACTGTGACCACCACACTCCCTTTCCACTCTCTGCCCCAGGCTCCACATACCTTCCTTGCCCAGCCCAGCAGGCCTGGCCAAGGTGGGCAATTATGGCCAGGAACTGATGGCAAAAAGCTTAGTGAGGTCCATGCTCCCATCACAAACCCTTACTGATCCCTGGGGTCAGACAGACATGGGTTCAAATGCTGCCTCTACCACTTCCGATACATGTGACCTTGAGCAAGTTATTTAATCCCGCTAAGACTAAATGTTCTTATCTGTGAAATGGGTAGTGCTTATTTTATTATAGAGTTGCTGGGAGAATTAAATAAAACCTTGCACTTAAAACATTTAGCATGGTGCCAGCGCATAGCAAGTTGGCCATTACGATTATTTTCATTCGCATCATCGTCGGCTTGACCACCTTACAATTTATTGTTGACACAGGATTTCACTGCCCAAGTTTGCATTTGTGTTTATGATTGTGCTGGCATCGAGTAGTCCTGTTTAATTGCTGCTGGCTAACAAGAAAAGAACAGAGGCGGATTTAATGCGTAAATGATGCGTTGAAGCCAAGTGAAGGCCAAATGATGTAACAGCCCGCTGTGCAAACAAAAGTATTGCAGTAATTCAAATAGAGAAAGGTTGGGGAGAATTGAGTCATTCCCCAGAGCATGGCAGCATCTGTATACATGTCAAGCTCAAAAGCAGATCCGCTCTGAGTGGTCAGTCCCATATCGCTAAAAGTAGCAATGTGGTTTCAGGCAAACAACATCATCCTTCTCATTAAACAGATATTGTTACTTTAAATTTTATTGGGTTTGCAGTTTTGTTTATATTTACTAGGTACGTTTCTCCGATGTAGATGTACTGCTAAGTAAAAAAGAAATTGTAGTATGCTGCCTTTTGATTAAAAAGGGGAGTATAGGCCAGCCGTGGTGGCTCATGCCTGTAATCCCAGCACTTTGGGAGGCCAAGGTGGGCGGGATCACGAGGTCAGGAGATCAAGACCATCCTGGCTAACACTGTGAAACCCTGTCTCTACTGAAAATACAAAAAATTAGCCTGGTGTGGTGGCACGCACCTGTAGTTCCGGCTACTTGGGAGGCTGAGGCAGGAGAATTGCTTGAACCCGGGAGGTGGAGGTTGCAGTGAGCTGAGATCTTGCCACTGCACTCCAGCCTGGGTGACACAGGGAGACTCTGTCTCAAAAAAAAAAAAAAAAAAAAAAAAAAAGAATGAGCGAGTATAGGCTGGGCGTGGTGGCTCATGCCTGTAATCCCAGAACTTTGGGAGGCTGAGGCGGGTGGATGACCTGAGGTCAGGAGTTCGAGACCAGTCTGGCCAACATGGTGAAACCCCGTCTCTACTAAAAATACAAAAATTAGCTGAGCTTGGTGGTGCACGCTTCTAATCCCAGCTACTTAGGAGGCTGAGGCAGAAGGATCGCTTGAACCTGGGAGATGAAGGTTGCAGTGAGCCGAGATCGTGCCACTGCACTCCAGCCCAGGTGACAGAGTAAGACTCTATCTCAAAAATAAAATAAGGAGTATGAAAATACAGATAAATGTATATGTGTGTATATGTATGTGTCTATATATTTTTTTCTTTTGGCAAAAAGAAATAACAGAGGGATCAATCAGATCCAATAAAAATTGGTACTTGGTTATGGAGAGGGATTACACAGAAGGAATGGAGGTAGAAGAAAGATTGTCTTACGTGTATTTTTCCATGTAGTTTTGACCTTCAAGTCATATATTGCCTATTCATCTTGGATTGATGTTTGCATAGGGGCTATAAGGAGAATGTATACCTGACGTCACAAAAATAACTGACATCAGCATATTGGGGCGGGAGTAGGGGTGGGGAGCTGCAGGAGTCTCTTTCCCGTAAAGAACGTACATGGCTCGAGTTGGGGGCTGACTGCCTCAGCCAGATAGAGCCCTGTTGGTTCTCAGGAAAATAATCTTCCTAGAGCACTACTTAGAAATTATTCCTTCTCTCTAAAGCTGACAAGATCAGGGAGATCGGCCCTGCCAGGATATCTTGAGGAGAGAACTTAGCAAGCCCAGTGAGGTGGCTGTCGCAGGGAAGCAGTGTTCCCACCTGTCCCCCATGTGGCCAGGCCACCAAGGCCCCTTAGAGAGCACTGCCCACTAGTGTGCCTGAAATGGGCTATAGATCCTCTCCTCCCCCAAGCAGGCACCAGGTCCCAGGGCGACCAATGCCAGCAAGGCCCTGCCAGCCTCAGTCAGCCTGGTCCATGTGCCCCAGGGGGTTGCCCATGTAGTCTGTGTGGCATCATGTGAACAAGTTGGGAAGTACTGGCCTCAGAGGACTGTTTGCTGACCTCTGACCTCAGGGCAAGAGGTCAAAGGAGCAGGAATCTTACAAAATGGGTACAAGGGCACCTCGTGGGCCACCCAGGAACCAGGCCACACCAAAGGCTGCACTGAAAGTACACAGCCATGCAAGGGGACTGGCAGCTCTCTCCCAAGAGAAAAATCACCTGCTAGCACCAAGCTGCCATCAGAGCAGAGGCTCAGCCATGAAACTAAGCCAACAGAGAAGGGTCAGAAAAGCCTTGCAGGCCAGCCAACCGGGAGAGCATTCCTGCTTCAGGAGGAGGGAGGGTAGAACACAACCCCAGCAGCCCTTGTTGCTGGTTGGCACAGCTGTCACTGATGATGGGGTACTGCTCTTACCCAATTTTACAGAGGAGGAAACTCAGGCCCTGGGAGGTTGAGTAATTTGCCTAGGGACATACAAGAGCATTTCAGAGCTGAATCTGAATCGAGGGCTGGGCTGATCACCAACACTGCAGCCTCCCAACAAGTTTGCAGAGGGGAAGGGCAGTTCAGCACTTCAGTAGCATGAATATTACAAAAAAAAAATCAGGGCAGGCGCAGTGGCTCATGCCTGTAATCCCAGCACTTTGGGAGGCTGAGGAGGGAGGGGTCATTTGACACCAGGAGTTCTAGACCAGCCTAGACAACATGGTGAGACCTTGTCTTTACGAAAGAATAAAAAATTTCAGGAGGCATGGTGGCATGTGCTTGTAGTCCCAGCTACTCGGGAAGCTGAGGTGGGTGGATTCCTTGAGACCAGGAATTCAAGGCCGTAGTATGATCTGATGGCACCTGTGAAGAGCTGCTGCACTCCAGCCTGGGCAACAGAACAATACTGTTTCAGACAAAAACAAAAGAAACCAGAAAAATCAGCATGTACTACTGTGAGAACATAGGTGAACAATTCTTGTCCAAGAAAAAGTCAAATGTGAATCACAGCTGAGCCACCCACATCACGATGGCTGAGTGAATCTGTGTCTGATTTAGCCACAGTTCAGCTCTCTTGTAGAGGCAGAAAGCAGAGCGGTTGAAGTGTGTGTAGGCTTTCTATTCTTATGTCCCAGGTTCAAATCCTGGGTCTTTATTTTCCTTAGTGACTGCGAGTCCAGGCCTCAGTTTCCTAATCTGTGAAACAGGGATCATAACAGCACCTGCCTCAAGGGTTGTTGTGAGCAATATATGAAGCAATCATTATAAGGCATTGAGCACAGAGCCTGAGAGTATGAGCCCGTAAACTCACTGTGAGTTTCAGCTGTTAACTCAAAGCAGCTTTTTGTTGCCAAGTCGCTGGCTAAAGATGCCCAAGGGCTATGGTCTAGAGAGAAGCACCTGAACCCACCTAAGCAGTTGGGTTGGGGGATCCCGCCTGGCTGCTCCGCCAGCTCTTGTCCTGCAGAGGCCCCCACTTCGCAGGTCAGATGTGTGGTTCACCTCCTGTCCAGCCTTCCCAGGCCTGCGCAGGAGCCTACCACCTGCTCACTGGTTTGTAAGTCATTCAGGGGCTGGGCGCTTATAGAGTCACTCAAGGCGGTGACTCACACCTGTAATCCCAGCACTCTGGGAGGCCGAGGCAGGTGGTTCACTTGAAGTCAGGAGTTTGAGACCAGCCTGGCCAACGTAGCAAATGAAAACCCGTCTCTACTAAAAATACAAAAAATTAGCTGGGCGTGGTAGCACATGCCTCTAATCCCAGCTACTCGGGGAGGCTGAGGCAGAGGCTGCAGTGAGCTGAGACCGCACCACTGCACTCCAGCCTGGGTGACAAGAGTGACACTGTCTCAAAAAAAAAAAAAGTCACTGGACTCCCCCAAGCCAGTCCCCTACATTTCACATCAGGAGGGTCACCTATGGTGCCTCCTGCGTCGGGCTGTGGTGGGTTCCCACACGAACCCCCATATCTCTACTCCCCATGGTAGTCAGAGGAGCCTTTAAAAAGGGTAAATTTGCCGGGCACGGTGGCTCACGCCTGTAATCCCAGCACCTCTGGAGGGGGAGGCAGGAGGATTGCTTGAGGCCAGTCTGGGCAACAGAGTGAGAGCCCATCTTTTAAATTAAATTTAAAAATATAAAAATAAAATGGCTGGGCGCGGTGGCTCACGCCTGTAATCCCAGCACTTTGGGAGGCTGAGGCAGGTGGACTGACTGAGGTCAGGAGTTCGAGACCAGTCTGGCCAACATGGTGAAACCCTGTCTCTACTAAAAATACAAAAAAATTAGCCGGGTGTGGTGGTGTGTGCCTGTAATCCCAGCTACTCGGGAGGCTGAGGCAGGGGAATTGCTTGAGCCAGGGAGGTGGAGGTTGCAGTGAGCCGAGATTGCGCCACTGCACTCCAGCCTGGACGACAGAGCAAGACTCCATCTCTAAATAAATAAATAAATAATTTTTATTAAAGGGTAAATCAGTCAAATTTCCAAAAGAATTTTGAGAATCCAGAGCCCATTGCTCTGATAATTAAATTCAACATCTGGACCCAGCTTGGCAAGTGCTCTGTGATCCAGCCCGTTACCTACCTCTCATCTCATCTCTCGGCCATGCTCCAAGAAGTGTCTGCTCCCCAAGTGCATAAGCTCATGCCCCCAGGCCCATGTCCTTGCCTCTCCCTCTGCCTGGGACACTCTTCCTCCAGATCTTTACACTTTTGCCTCTTTTTTCAGCCTCAGCTCAAACATCACCTCCTCCCAGAGGTCTTCCCTGACCACCCCAGGGATAGCAGCCCTCCCGCTTCCCCAGGCACTCCCACATTACCTTCTTTATCATTTTCTTCCAGAGCTCTTAGGATGATCTGAACTTCTCTCATAAACTGGCTTATTCACCTGTGAACTGCCTGCTTCCCTCGCTATAACTGAAGCACTGGAAGAGGTCCTGCACCCAGCAGGCACTCAATGAGTATCTGAGGAATGAGTGAATGAAATGCCCAGTGCACAATCAACCTCCACAAAAGCAGTTTTTCTTTTCACATATAACTCATCGCTATCACAGCCCCTCTCCTTGCTCACCCGCCTCGCTGAGGGGCTCCTGAGAACCTCCGTAGAGGTCTCCATCAGCCAAAAAGCATCTGCACCGTCAGAGAGGGCCCCTCACTGCCGCTCGCAGTGCTCCCTGCTGCCACGTGCAGCCCCTTGAGCATGAGCCTGTTGACACAGGTTGGCACACGGTGTCTGGCTTCTGTAAATGCTCTCTGCTCCCAGGTGTGCCGTGCCCCATTGAAGGACAGCACTCACACTCCTCCAGGTATTAACTGACTTTTTCCCCAGCAATGTTTGTTTTAGGGATTAAAGTTTGTGGAGGAGCCTATAATTTCCAGACTCATCTGTTCCTTTCCTGGCAGCCAGCACATTTGTCATTCTATTTTTCCCAAGTCCCTGATAATACCGTTCCAGACATGTTGATTTGATGGCATCAGTCAACGGAAAGACTCTCTGGGGCCTGCCGTAGGCCAGAGGACAGGCTCTCCGGGCCACACTCAGGGGCGACTGAGCCAACTCTTCACGCCATTCCTTTCCTTCCCTGCCTAGGACGACCTTACAGCCCATGATCGCTTTTCTTCTTCTTCTTCTGTTTGTTTTTTCTTCCTGTTTTCTTTTTAAGTACTACAGTGACCCCTTATTTATTCAGCAAAGAAATGGACTACTCCACAGTAGTGAATTTTCAAAATAATGCCCTTCAAGCACTAAAACTTTAAACAACACATCTTCAAAACAGCTTTGCTGAGGTATAACTGACACACTATAAACGGCATGGATTTAAAGTGTACAACTTGATATGTTTTGATATATGGACACACCCATGAAACCATCACCACAATCAAGATAATGAACATGTCCATCATTCCCAAAAGTTTCCTCCCGCCCCTCCCTGCCCCCTTCCCCAAGCAAGCACTGATCTGTTTTCCAAATACGTCTTTAATGCTACAAGGGCTCACACACCTCCCCACCTTAGAAAATGGAGTATGATCAACATGATTGATCCTTTCCTTGATTCAGCATTATCACCAACACGATGGAAAGTGATCTCAGATGTCATGAGGATGCATGATTGTTTGCCCTGATCACTAAACGGCCCATTGTTGTGCTGGCATACTGGGCAGTTTCAAGTTTGGGAGTTTTCTCCCTCACTGCTAGCTGTCTCAGAGCTTAGTTCCCAGCAGACAACTCTTGCTGCCTCGAACCCTGGCACACTAACCACCATCCTGTGACGTTCCCACTCCTCATTCTGCGACAGTGGTTCTTTGCTGGGAGAGATTTTTGTCTCCCAAGGGACATTTGGCAATACCTGGAGATCTTTTTGGTTGTCATCATGGGAGCGGGAATGCTACTAGCAGCTAATGTTTAGTGACTAGGGATGCGACTGAACATCCTGCAATGTAGAGTGCAGTGTCCCCTACAGAGAATTATCCGACCCAAGATGTTGATAATGCCAAGGTTGAGAAACCCTGTTCAGGATGACAAACTGATTGAAAACTCAACAAGGGGACCGGGCGTGGTGGCTCACGCCTAATAATCCCAGCACTTAGGGAGGCCGAGGTGGGTGTATCACTTAAGGTCAGGAGTGCGAGACCAGCCTGGCCAACATGGCAAAACCCCATCTCTACTAAAAATACAAAAAAAAAAAAAAAAAATACGAGTGGCGTAAGCCTGTAATCCCAGCTACTTGGGAGGCTGAAGCATGAGAATCGCCTGAACCCAGAAGGCAGAGGTTGCAGTGAGCTGTGATCAGGCCATTGCATTCCAGCCTGGGCAACAGAGCGAGACTCTTGTCTAGAAAAAAAAAAAACAAACCCATAAAACAAACAAACAAAAAAAACTATGAGGATTGAGTGATTCACATTTCTGAATCGAGAGAGAGAAGGATGGGCAGCAGGCTTGTTGAAGCTGGAAGGCCAGGGAGGTCGCAGACTGAGGAAGACCCTGGTGTGTCCCAGGTACCTCCATGCAACCCTACTAGAGAGGTGGTCTCTGGCTTCCTATGGACAAGCTCTAAGGGACCCAGCTATGGGGCACCAGAGCCCAGCGTTCAGCAGCTGCTCAATGAATGTCTGCCAGGCGAGACTGCACCCAAAGCATTTATTAGGTACATAATTGTGGCAGCACTGGCTGGCCATGGAAGGCAAGGCAGAACACAAGGAGCTGGAGCTGGCGGAAGGAAGTCATTAAGTCAGCCAGTGGCTGGGATGCAGCAAAGCCAGGCAGAAGGTAAGTGCAGACCCACCCCAATAAATGAGGAAAATGAGAAGGGCTGGCTGGCCATGTTAGGATCCAGTTCCAGTGCGACCAGATATGTCACCACCACATCACTTTTAGCTCCTCCCCCCACCCACAGACACCCTGTTTGCCTGTCATATAAAGAAGGTTTTCCCAAAGTGGTTTAGCCAGAACTGGAAGGGCCCCGCCCTGTGAAGGGATAGGAGCCTGACTGTTGCAGCTGCAGTGAGTGGCGGGGAAGCAGCAGCGGCCAGGATGAATCCCAGGTGCTCTGGAGCTGGATGGTGAAGTATGGACATGCTTTATTCGATTTTGCATTGACTTAAAGGTTTAATTATTTTAGGAGTTCTTGTAGACATTCCTGAAAAATGCAGGTAGGCAAAAAGAAGAAAACAAAGATCGCAAATGTGACCCTTTCATTCGGAGAGAACACCAATGGAATTTTGTTGTGCACCCTTCTATGCACGTCTGAATGTTGTGTAGACATTCTGCTTACAACTAGGTGTGGGTGCTGCTGCCGAAGGCTTTATTTGCTGTGCCTGAGGTGGACCAGAGATTTCAGAGAAGACTCCCAGAGCACCCCAAGGAGACAACAGGAGTGCTTGGAGTCAGGATGACTGGGTGGATTTAGGACTATGTGATTCTCAGGAGCCTCTCTGGATTAGCCCCAAATCAAGGATAAAGAGAGGCCTAGCTGGACTCTTCCTCCCAGAGCCCTGCTGGGAAAATGGAGCCCCTTTACAGCCCCCACTTACCCATCAGGCCCTGCTCCTCTCACTCATCTCCAGACTTCTGTCACATGCCCAAGTCCTGCTAACTGCTGTGTAAAACTGGTAAGGTGGGATCCAGAGGACCTTGGGCCCCTAGGGCCCCAGGTCAGGAGACCTGGGCTCCAGGGCCAGTTGAGAGTGATAAAGAGAACAATACCTGCCCACAGGACTTGTTGCAATGAGATAAAGGCAGAAGTCACCAGTTGTGGTCAAATGGGATTTTTTTCCAGAGAAGTCTCACAGAGAGTGGCTTTCAAATTCTTTTTAGCAGCAGAATTGTTGTAAAATACAATCTCATGTGAAACCCTAAAATGTGAGACACTCTGGGTGAAGCAGAGAGAGGTGCTCAACTGCCCAATCCTGTCCTCATTCCTCCCTCTCAGGGAGGCACCTCTGAGAACCCACTTTAAAGAATTTTGCCTTATGCAGATTGAAGAGGCAAGCTGGCTGGAAGAAACTGGGAAGCTCCACTTCCCACCGCCTCTGCCTGGGTGGCAGTCATCTGAGCCTAGGCTAGCCCCTCCCCCTCCAAAGACCCACTGCGGGCTCCCCTGGGGCCAGTCTCCAGGATGGGTGGGGCACCTGAAGCAGCAAGTATTGCTATTTTTCTGGGCTGACCTTTCTTCTAGGCCTGAGGACAAGTGGGTAGGTGGGGCCAGCCCTGTCCCTGTTTCCCCTCAATGGAGTTCTCTTGCTCACAGCCTAAGGAAGAAGCGTGAGTCACTTCCTGCCTCAGTCTGACTGCTGGAGTATTGTTCTCCCAACTGTGGCTGGCGCTACCCAGTGTGGCCCCTACAAGTCTTAGTTCCTTGGCGGAGGGGAAGTCCCCACTTTGGGACAAGGCCAACTGGACTTATCTTCCCGCTCAACTTTGAGGACCCAGCATTGTTCCTCCAGTTTCCAGTTCTTGCAGTGTTTGTAAAGGTGCCCGAATCGTACCTGATCCCATTCACTAAATATTATCTCCATTTTATAGAGGGGTAAATTGAGGAAGTCCCTGAGAAATTAACTTGTCTAAGGTGTCCCAGCAAAAAATAGTGCCCCAGGGATTTGAACCGGTTTGCTGATTGATTTTTCACCAGTTGCCTTAAGAATTATCATGATTTAACCTCTCTGGGCCTCAGTTTCCTCCTCTATAAAATGCAGACAGTGATACATCAAAGGTACTTAAAGGAAAATGTACTGTACCCACCTCATGGGGCATGTGGTGAGGATAAAACGGGTTGACACAGGAAAAGAGCTCTCAATGGTGCCTGGCTCATAGAAAACACTCAGTGGATTTTTTTTTTCCCATTACCCGGGAACCTGTGTTAAGGAGGCCACAGGCTGATCCTGTGCAGCCAGGTTATCTCACAGGGAGCGAGAAGAGATGGGCACAGGCTACTCTGCGACCTTGGAATAACCCAGCCTGGGAAGCTCCTGGCCACATTTTCCTTCTTTTCTTTCTCAGCTCAAGCAGCGTCGGCCTCAGCCAAGTAGCACAAACGTTTTCTAGGGCCCAGGGAGGGAGAGGCTCCGGCTGGTATATTGCAAGTAGCTTGGATTCAGGCTCTGCCAAACACCCCAGTCTCTTGCAGGATCTGAGGTCTGCTGGTTGTGGGACTTTGCGCAAATTATTTAAACGTTGTGCGCCTCAGTTTCCTTATCTGTAAAATGGGATTAATAATCTCAGCCTGAAAGGATTATGTGGATTAAATCATGTACATAAGAAGGAGATAATGTAAAGTGACTGGCCTGGTGCCTGGCAAGCGGTTGGTGTCTAAAAAGAAAAAAAAGCTAAAAATATTAAAAGGAGGTGGGCTACTTCTGCTCATATATCCACCTGTCTATACAAATGCAGACGAAGTCGTGACTCCTCTAACAGTAGGCCAAGAGGAGGCTGGTCCTGCCGCCGTGCAGTCCTCCCTCGACCTGGGAGTGGAGGACCCCAGGTCCGCCGTCCCTGGGCACTTAACCCGGTCAGGCTCAAATTCGTCGCCCAGGAGTGGGGAAGCGGGGGACGGAGAGGGCCAGTCCCCCAAGAGTCCGGCTGAGGCAGGGCTCGGAGTGCCTCCCCCAAGCCTTTCCCTTTGGTTCCGAGTTCGGGTCTCCGCGGCCGTCTTCCCGGGGAGCTCGCGGGGCGAAGAGCCGAGCCCGGGGGCGGGGGCACGGCAGCGGGGCCTGAGGGACGCGCCGGGCGGCCGCGAGGACTTTGGGATCGCCTGCCCCACTTCCTACCTGCCCCTACCAGGAGCCGGAGGCAGCGGGCGCCCCAGAAGGCCCCGCAGGGCCGCCGCGCGGGGCCGGACGCGCTGGGGCCCACGGCGCTGGGAACGCGGGCCCGCAGTCGGGCCCGGGCGGCATGGGCGGCCGAGGGGCGCCCGAGCCGCCGCGGCGGTCGCCTGGAAAAGTTTCCCCGCCAGGGCTCCCCAGGGTAAGTAGCGAGGGCGCGGGGCCCGGGGCCCGGGGAAGGCAAGCGCGTCTGGGAGCCGGGCCCGAGGGGAGCCGGCCGGGCCGGGCCGTGGAGCTCTGCCCCAGGAGCGGGCTCCGCGGCCCGGGTGCTCGGGCCGGGGAGGGTCGGGGCACTGGCGCCGGTGCAGCCCTGACCCGGGTCCCCCGGGGCCCGGCTGCCCGCCGGCTTTCCGGAACTGGCCCCGGGGCCGGCCCCGAGGGTGGAGCTGCCGGGAGCAGACAGGGCGCTCCGCAGCCCACCTGAGCGCGCCGGGCCCGTCTCGGCCCCCCGGCCGTGGCTGGTACTTTTCCGCGTGGGGCCAGGGCGAGCCCTCTGACCTCAGGAAGCGCCTGCGGGGCCCCTGCTGGGGGCGGGATGGGGAGAAAATTCCGCAGGCGCCGGGTGCTCCAGCCTCCCCGCCGCCACCGGGGCTGCCGCCGGCTCGCCCACTCCGCGGCCGAGGAGGGCCTGCGTTCCGCCCGGGGAGGGGAGGAGCGGCCGGGGGCGAGGCGGGGGCTCCTTCGCTTGGGCCTCGCCCCCGCCCGCACACCTGTGCGGCCAGGACTCGGGTGCGGGATCCGCGGGCGCCGGCGGCCGGCGCAGGTAGGTCCCTGGGCTGCCTTCTGCCGCGGCCTGGCCGAGGCCCCTGTGCCCCCGCTGTGTGGCTGGACCAAGGGGCGGCCTGCTTGCCAGACAGGTCTGACGGCAGTCACTTGTCTGGTCAGAACCCGCTTTCCCATCATCCTCTACCCCCTGGCCCCTGGGGTGCAGACCCTCATCCACCGGAGAGTGTTGGGATTCCTATTCTGACTTGGGAAGTGCGAGGAGAACCCGGGTGATATGGCCTGGTGAGGGCGGGTGCTGAGCAGGTGTGGACACAGCATAGGAGATTAGCCAAGCCTGACCTCTTCTCAAGCAGGGCAGCCCTCGTTTTACTATTTCCTATATTGGGCTTCTACGGAGCATTTGATTTTTAAAAAGGATTCTGTGGCTTTTTAAAAAGTTTGAAAGCCGCTGGTCCAGCAGTTTTTACCACCAAGGAAACTGAGGCCCAGGGAGAGGAAGTGACTTGTTAAGATCATCCAGCAAATAGTGGGCAGGGACTGGGAGCGATAAATTCACGGGAGCCTCCCAGGGCTGGTAACAGGACCCCGCGTGGTGTCTCTGCTAGAGGGAGAGACTGATTGGGTGTCCGAGTGGCCCTCCCGTGGCCTGCTCTGTGGCTGTGTCAGAGCCAGACCCCCAGTGTCTGGGAAACAGCAGTCGGTCCTGGGGTGAGGCGCAATTTGAGTGGCCCAGAGTGGCTCTCTGTGTCAGGAGGTTCTGGTGCTGGAGAAAAGGGCTTTGCCCAAGAACACAGCCAGGAAGAGCACCCACAGCTCTCTCTGGCCACAGCCTGGAACAGAGTCCCATGTGAAACAAGACCATGAGAAATACAGCAAGCCTCCAGGTTTGAGACAAACTGGGACTAGAGGGTGAGTCAGAGTCTGGGATGGGGGTGGGGAGAAACCCATTCATTCATTGTTTTCAGTTCTTACTCTTTTCGGGGATCCTCCCTTGTCCCACATGCTGTGGCAGAGCCGTCTGTGGGGGTCTCATTTTCTGGAAGCCATCCCCACCCCTCACCATGGCTGGGGTTGTTGGATAGAGGGAGGCTGGCCCTCTTTCTTTGGGGGGACTGTTCAGTTGCGCCTGACGCCTGCTTTCTTTCCGAGTGCTGCAAGGTAATTAAATAGTTGGTTAATCACTTTTAACGCCAAACAGCTGCGGCTCCATCTACAGTGTGCTGGAATCTGGGCTAGACCCAGATGAACCCAGCCTCGATTTGGGGGCTCCAGCAGGACTCACAGCACGGTGGTTGGTGGTGGTGGGGGCAGGGGGGTGGTTGCATGACATCTGGACCCAAGAGGCAGCTGTTGTGGCAGCAAGAGAGAGGAGAGAGATGAGGCCCCGTTCCTATATGGCTCTGCTCCCAGGGTCCCACATCCTCTGTTAAATGAGGGACTTGGGGTGGGGGGGGCGGTCCTTCCATCCCCTAGGGCTGGGGCGCCTAGCTGCCCAGCCATTGATCAGGCCAGCTTTCTGGAACCAACCACCCAAAGCACCATGGGGCTGTGGTTCCGAGGCCTGCCCTGGAAGTCCTGTGGAGTCTGCCCGCAGGGATGTGCAGGAGCTGTATTGTAGATGTCTCCTGCCATCAGCTGTCAGGTTATTTTGGTCCAAACTGAAAATACTCCAGGAATTGTGTGTGGAGTACCCCCAGCCTGCAGGGTGGGACTGCAGCAGTCAGGGAGGCCGGTTGTGTCTAAGGGCAGCTTCTGGAGAAGCAAGGAGTTTTCTGTGGTGAGCCTGCCTCTCTAGCTCCCCAGGGCCTACGTGAGCTGGGGTGCCTTCCTTTTGGTATCCGGCAGAGTGGCCTTGGCTATGGAAGTGCTAAGGGCATCCAGGGCCCTGCTGCTGCTCAGGGAGCTTGGCACTGATATGGGATACCCCCAGCAGCACTGCTGGGACCTCCCCTAGCTTCCCCCCCTTCCTCCAGGGCCTTGGCTTCTGGCTAGTCAGGGGCACTATGTGGGGACAGTTATGTGGCCCCGGGCAGAGAGAGGTCCCGCCGTCTGTTTGCTGAAGGAGGAAAAACAACACTCGGACTATTGATTCAGTCTCACCTTGGCGCTCCTGGCTCAGCAGCCAGTGTTTGCCCTGGCTGCCTGGGCTCGGATTACGCAAGGCTGGTGGGCGTGGAGCAAGCAAGGGGGCAGCTGGGGGCCTCCAGGCCCAGGCAGGGCAGGGCTTGGCGGCCCCAGCGTTCCCCAGGAAACTGTAAAAACGAGTCTGGGGCCCTGACTTTGCTGATAGCGGCCATCTCAGCCATAGAGGGAGGTGAAGCCTCTGTGATCTCCACCCCCGCACCCCCTCAGGACATGGCCCCTAAAAGCACCATCCCATTTAGGGTCACCCATTTTCTTCCTAGGAGCTGTGGGGCTTTGCGAATAACTCCCTATGGCTGAATCTGCTTTGCTGAACTAGGAAACCCTAGTGAGTTGTATAGATGCCATTCATTTAAGAACCTTGAAAAGCCAACATCTTATTCCCATGTAAAACATACCTAGGTGATTTGGAGAATACAGTGACACAAAGAAGAAAATAACAATTACTTGTAATTCTCACCATCTTGAGAGAACCACCGTTAACATTTTTTAGCGTGTGTATCCTTCCAGATTTCGCTTTAGTTTGTATAAATATACATGTATAAATAGTTTTTAAAAAATAAAATGGGATTATGTGTACATACTGCTTTATAATGCATCTTCTTTACCTTGATCATGGTGAACATTTATTCATTTGTTGTTTCTGATTTTGAGTGACTCAGGGCTTGATAGTCTTCATCCTGCTTCTTCTGTTACACTTTTTTTTTTTTTTTTTTTTTTGAGAGGGAGTATCGTTCTGTCGCACAGACTGGGAATGCAGTGGCGCGATCTTGGCTCACTGCAACCTCCACCTCCTGGGCTCAAGCAATTCTTGTGCCTCAGCCTCCCAAGTCGCTGGCACTACAAGCACCCGCCACCACACTTGGCTCATGTTTGTATTTTTAGTAGAGACGAGGTTGCACCATGTTGGCCAGGCTGGCCTCGAACTCCTGACCTCAGGTGATCCACCCGCCTCAGCCTCCCAAAGTGCTGGATGACAGAAGTGAGCCACCATGCCTGGCCCTTCTGTTACATTTCTTATATTCTTGCATGGAGAAAGGATTGGGGGGGATTGTGAGGGCATCCATCTGTCCATCTATGTGGCTGGCCTTGGGGGCTAGATTTCTTCTGGGGAGGACTAATTTTTTTACCCTTCTCCCCCAGATCTCATTTCAGGCCCCAATTGAAACTTGGGGTGGGCAGGGCAGCTTTAGTGCGTAGCAGGGGAGGAACTGACCCTCTCTCCCCTTTTCCCCTCTTGTTCCTCTCAGGGTCGGCACTCTTCACCCTCCCGAGCCCTGCCCGTCTCGGCCCCATGCCCCCACCAGTCAGCCCCGGGCCACAGGCAGTGAGCAGGCACCTGGGAGCCGAGGCCCTGTGACCAGGCCAAGGAGACGGGCGCTCCAGGGTCCCAGCCACCTGTCCCCCCCATGGAGCTGAGGCCCTGGTTGCTATGGGTGGTAGCAGCAACAGGAACCTTGGTCCTGCTAGCAGCTGATGCTCAGGGCCAGAAGGTCTTCACCAACACGTGGGCTGTGCGCATCCCTGGAGGCCCAGCGGTGGCCAACAGTGTGGCACGGAAGCATGGGTTCCTCAACCTGGGCCAGGTAGGTGTTCCCCCACAGGACACTGCCAGGGGGTGGGACCAGAGAAGACAGGGATTCTGGGAGCAGGAGCTGTTGGCCTTGTTTGCTCAGGGGCATCTGGGTAGCCGGCATGTTCTGGGTGGCCATGAGCAAAGCACAGGTGGTTCAGGCAAGCAGCATATCCCAGTGAGAGTGAGTCCTCATGGTCCCCGCATTTTGCTGGGTCCCGGACAGGGAGCAGATGCCCCGCACCCCCGACCGTGGCGAGCCTCCCATGAAGCCGTTGTCCACCCCCGTCCCCCGCCTCCCGGGGACTGACAGATGGAAAGCCCAGCTCAGTCTCCCTGCTCTATTGCAGATCTTCGGGGACTATTACCACTTCTGGCATCGAGGAGTGACGAAGCGGTCCCTGTCGCCTCACCGCCCGCGGCACAGCCGGCTGCAGAGGGAGCCTCAAGTGAGTGTGGCCCCAGCCCCCTCCTGCTGCCACCCTCCCCCTCCTGCTCTCAGGAGCCCCTCTCGCCTCCTGCTCCACCCACACCATCTCTCCCTCACTCCCCCACAGGTACAGTGGCTGGAACAGCAGGTGGCAAAGCGACGGACTAAACGGGACGTGTACCAGGAGCCCACAGACCCCAAGTTTCCTCAGCAGTGGTACCTGGTACGTGGCCTTCTTCGCTGCTGGGACCTCCTCCCCAGATGCACCATCCACCCACTATGAGCTCTTGGATGGAGGAGGCTGTCTTCGAGGCCTCCTCTGATTCGTTTCCTTTCCTCCTGCTGGGCAGTCTCTCCTTGGCCCATCCTAATAAGCAAGCCTGGGGGTGGCCCTCCCAGAGTCCTCTACATTCCCATGGAGTCCAGACAGCCAGTGGCGGCCTTTCAGGAGCAGGGATGGTACAGGAGGAGGTTTTACGGGGGCAAAGGGATTCTTCAAGATGCTCCTAGCCTCACAAAACCAATCATGTCTCATAAGTGATGGGGTGGGTGTCTCCACAGTCTGGTGTCACTCAGCGGGACCTGAATGTGAAGGCGGCCTGGGCGCAGGGCTACACAGGGCACGGCATTGTGGTCTCCATTCTGGACGATGGCATCGAGAAGAACCACCCGGACTTGGCAGGCAATTATGTGAGGAAGTCGGGGAGGGAGGCCGTGATCCCTGCTGAGGTGTGTCTAGAGGCTGTCTTGTTCTATCAGTGAGGTCAGCCTTCTCCTGATGGTGGCCAAATCCTTCTTAGGATCCTGGGGCCAGTTTTGATGTCAATGACCAGGACCCTGACCCCCAGCCTCGGTACACACAGATGAATGACAACAGGTAAGAAGTGGCAGGCCCCGGTCTCTGCCTCCCTTCTCCTTTCTTCCACTAAGGAACAGGGCTGAGCCTGGGTGAGATGTGCCTTGCCTAAAAGGCTGAGGCTTTTCCCACAGTCCTGGCCCACCTGGGGCTCTGAGGGAGGGCTCGGTCAGAGTGGAGATGGCCACAGGCCCAGTGGAGTGTGGGAGATGGGGGCTGGGTACTCAGGGGATGATGGGTGTCGGATGTGCGGATCCCTCGTGCTCCTCAGGCCACATCTGCCGGGCCCTGTTCACCCCATTTGTTCTACTCATGCTACGTGCTTGGCCCTGGCAGGCACGGCACACGGTGTGCGGGGGAAGTGGCTGCGGTGGCCAACAACGGTGTCTGTGGTGTAGGTGTGGCCTACAACGCCCGCATTGGAGGTGAGTGTGGGCCTGGGCCACCCTGTCTTCAGGAGGGCCCTTCAGTGGAATTTTTCCCGCCCACTTCCCATCTGGCCAATGCCTGCCACTTTCCCACTGTGGATCCTTTGATCACGTGGCTGTTCCATGGAGGGTTCCCAAAGGGTCAAAGACTGAAAGAGCTGGACCCCTGTGGAGTGAGGGTTTCCTAGCAGGAGTCTCCTGAAATCCTCACGACCCACTGTGAGTCCTCACGTGGCAGATCCTTGATCACCAGGCTCTTTTGGGAACCAGAGACTCTTTCTAGTCCTGAATGTGTGGTTGGGGGCAGGAGGTGTTCTCTTTTTCCTTCTCTGGGTCTTGTCTTTGAAAGGCAGAGGCAAACAGGTAGTTGGGGGTTCAGGGTTTCTCAGCATCAGCCTCCACCCTTCCCTTACTCATCCCCTGGGGTGCAGGGCTGGGTGTGCTCCTTGGGGTGGGGGCCCTGACAGCTGGACCCATGCAGCATCCCTCTTCGTGCCCCCCCTTCACGGCCAGGGGTGCGCATGCTGGATGGCGAGGTGACAGATGCAGTGGAGGCACGCTCGCTGGGCCTGAACCCCAACCACATCCACATCTACAGTGCCAGCTGGGGCCCCGAGGATGACGGCAAGACAGTGGATGGGCCAGCCCGCCTCGCCGAGGAGGCCTTCTTCCGTGGGGTTAGCCAGGTGAGGTGGGGATCTGTCCAGCCCCTGCGGGCAGGTTGGGTGCTGTCTTCCGTACCTATCTTGTGTTTTTTGGTTTGTTTTATTTATTCTCATGTTTAACTTTACACAAAGCATGTTTATTGAAACATTAAGGGACAGAAGAAGAGTAGAGTGCATATACCACTTGGACTTGCCTAATTAAAAAACACATTTTTTTTAGAAATGAGGTCTTGCTGTGTTACCCAGGCTGGTCTCAAACTCCTGGCCTCAAGCGATCCTCCCGCCTTGGCCTCTTGGTCTGATTTTTTGTGTGCCTAGATAGACATATTTGGATACATACTTGATCCACCAGGGATCTCACAGGGGACAGGAGGTTCCCAGAGAATGAGGCTCCAGCCTTCCCAGTTTTCCAGCAGTGTCCTCCTGCCAGCCCTCCCTCAAGTCCCAATCTTGAATGACCCCAGCCCACTCTGTCCACAGGGCCGAGGGGGGCTGGGCTCCATCTTTGTCTGGGCCTCGGGGAACGGGGGCCGGGAACATGACAGCTGCAACTGCGACGGCTACACCAACAGTATCTACACGCTGTCCATCAGCAGCGCCACGCAGTTTGGCAACGTGCCGTGGTACAGCGAGGCCTGCTCGTCCACACTGGCCACGACCTACAGCAGTGGCAACCAGAATGAGAAGCAGATCGTGAGTCTTACCTGGGGGTGGGGGCTGGGGAGATGGGGCTGCTGGCTGGCTCTGTCCAGCACCCTCTTTTGGAGGCTGTCTGCCTCCACCCCCATGTGGCTGGGTGATAGTGGCTCAGGCATCATGCAACATGAACTCTGGGGCTCTGTAGGTTCTTGGAGGCCATGGAGCCATCTCTGAAGACTTTGAAAAGCCTAGACTCTCTCTAAAAACATACTTTGTTCTTATTCATCTCCACCCTCTAGTTGAACCCCCTTATTCCTTTGGAAAATGAGGCCCAGGAGGGGCTCGTCATTAGCATGTCCACGGCAAGTTAGCAAGGCAGCAGCTGGGACCTGGGGTTCTTGGCCCTGGCTCCCCATACCATCTGTGGTGCCCAGGGCCTGTATGCAGAGGGAGGGTAGGCAGGTGGCTCCTCTAGCCCCCTCCACCCATCACAGGCCCCAATATGATTCTCTTCCTGGCAGGTGACGACTGACTTGCGGCAGAAGTGCACGGAGTCTCACACGGGCACCTCAGCCTCTGCCCCCTTAGCAGCCGGCATCATTGCTCTCACCCTGGAGGCCAAGTAAGTGGGTGGGGGCCAGCGGCAACCCTGTCCCTACCAGCACTCTCTGTAGGGCAGCCCTTAGGGCAGCTGGAGAGCTGCTCCCAAAAAAGACTGATCCCCAGCCTCTCCCTTCCTTCTTTGCAGTAAGAACCTCACATGGCGGGACATGCAACACCTGGTGGTACAGACCTCGAAGCCAGCCCACCTCAATGCCAACGACTGGGCCACCAATGGTGTGGGCCGGAAAGGTGAGGGCAGGCTGGCCCGGCAGGCTGGATGTGGAGTTAGGTAGAAGGCACTCTGTGCCTGACAGCTGACCCTACCTTCCCTGTCCCCACAGTGAGCCACTCATATGGCTACGGGCTTTTGGACGCAGGCGCCATGGTGGCCCTGGCCCAGAATTGGACCACAGTGGCCCCCCAGCGGAAGTGCATCATCGACATCCTCACCGAGCCCAAGTGAGGGCTGGACCCAGGCTGGGAGGGGGCCAGTGGGACCTGAGAGTCGCAGGGGGTGCCCGCTGGTCCCTCTGGGCCAGGCTGACCATCATGGTGCTCTCCTGCACAGAGACATCGGGAAACGGCTCGAGGTGCGGAAGACCGTGACCGCGTGCCTGGGCGAGCCCAACCACATCACTCGGCTGGAGCACGCTCAGGCGCGGCTCACCCTGTCCTATAATCGCCGTGGCGACCTGGCCATCCACCTGGTCAGCCCCATGGGCACCCGCTCCACCCTGCTGGCAGCCAGGTGCTTGCTCTGTCCCTGCCCGCCCTGCCCAGCGCCGCCGCCTCTCACAGCCCGCGTGCTTGCCTTTGCTCGCTCACACGGCCCAGGGGGCACTGAGTGCTACTCAGTGGGGCACTCTTGGCATTTTGGGAGGGACAATTTTGTCCTGTGGGACTGTCCCATGTTGCAGGAATCCCTGGCTTGCAACCATTTAATGTCAGTAGTGTGCCCCACCTTGTGCGGTGCCTGTGTACCTTTCTAGAATCCCCCAGTTGAGCACGTCTGGCTCACTGAGAAACAGCCAAGCCAGCAGGCACTTCTGGCCCCATGGGGTTGGTCTGCGTGGGGGAAGGGTGTGTGGCCCATGTGCTGTGGGTTAGATGTCCCTGGCTTGGGGTCCCGCAGAGGCCTCAGGGCTGTGTGCACTCCCCTCCCCAGGCCACATGACTACTCCGCAGATGGGTTTAATGACTGGGCCTTCATGACAACTCATTCCTGGGATGAGGATCCCTCTGGCGAGTGGGTCCTAGAGATTGAAAACACCAGCGAAGCCAACAACTATGGTACTGGGGGCACTTGAGGGGTAGGGGTACGAGGTGGAGGGCTGGCAGGATCTCGAGCACTGGGTGTGGTGCCAGCACTGTCTTAACTCTTGCCTCCTCCCCGCTCTGGAACAGGGACGCTGACCAAGTTCACCCTCGTACTCTATGGCACCGCCCCTGAGGGGCTGCCCGTACCTCCAGAAAGCAGTGGCTGCAAGACCCTCACGTCCAGTCAGGCCTGTGTGGGTCAGTAGTGGGTGCTGTTGGGCTTTGGGGGCCTGAGTCTGGGGGTAAGGCGGGTGCCTGTCCTGAAGCCCAGCTCTAACAGAAAAAAGTCTCAAGAGACCTAGGGCCCCTGGGGCTCTTGGGATGACCACAGTCCTGGGGCTGGAGGATCCTGGGGATGTGGTGACTTGGCTTGGGGCTGCTGTGGTCCTGGGGCTACAGTCTGTTTAGCTGACACACACTTGCCCTCTCTCCCACGCCGGCAGTGTGCGAGGAAGGCTTCTCCCTGCACCAGAAGAGCTGTGTCCAGCACTGCCCTCCAGGGTTCGCCCCCCAAGTCCTCGATACGCACTATAGCACCGAGAATGACGTGGAGACCATCCGGGCCAGCGTCTGCGCCCCCTGCCACGCCTCATGTGCCACATGCCAGGGGCCGGCCCTGACAGACTGCCTCAGCTGCCCCAGCCACGCCTCCTTGGACCCTGTGGAGCAGACTTGCTCCCGGCAAAGCCAGAGCAGCCGAGAGTCCCCGCCACAGCAGCAGCCACCTCGGCTGCCCCCGGAGGTGGAGGCGGGGCAACGGCTGCGGGCAGGGCTGCTGCCCTCACACCTGCCTGAGGTGGTGGCCGGCCTCAGCTGCGCCTTCATCGTGCTGGTCTTCGTCACTGTCTTCCTGGTCCTGCAGCTGCGCTCTGGCTTTAGTTTTCGGGGGGTGAAGGTGTACACCATGGACCGTGGCCTCATCTCCTACAAGGGGCTGCCCCCTGAAGCCTGGCAGGAGGAGTGCCCGTCTGACTCAGAAGAGGACGAGGGCCGGGGCGAGAGGACCGCCTTTATCAAAGACCAGAGCGCCCTCTGATGAGCCCACTGCCCACCCCCTCAAGCCAATCCCCTCCTTGGGCACTTTTTAATTCACCAAAGTATTTTTTTATCTTGGGACTGGGTTTGGACCCCAGCTGGGAGGCAAGAGGGGTGGAGACTGCTTCCCATCCTACCCTCGGGCCCACCTGGCCACCTGAGGTGGGCCCAGGACCAGCTGGGGCGTGGGGAGGGCCGTACCCCACCCTCAGCACCCCTTCCATGTGGAGAAAGGAGTGAAACCTTTAGGGCAGCTTGCCCCGGCCCCGGCCCCAGCCAGAGTTCCTGCGGAGTGAAGAGGGGCAGCCCTTGCTTGTTGGGATTCCTGACCCAGGCCGCAGCTCTTGCCCTTCCCTGTCCCTCTAAAGCAATAATGGTCCCATCCAGGCAGTCGGGGGCTGGCCTAGGAGATATCTGAGGGAGGAGGCCACCTCTCCAAGGGCTTCTGCACCCTCCACCCTGTCCCCCAGCTCTGGTGAGTCTTGGCGGCAGCAGCCATCATAGGAAGGGACCAAGGCAAGGCAGGTGCCTCCAGGTGTGCACGTGGCATGTGGCCTGTGGCCTGTGTCCCATGACCCACCCCTGTGCTCCGTGCCTCCACCACCACTGGCCACCAGGCTGGCGCAGCCAAGGCCGAAGCTCTGGCTGAACCCTGTGCTGGTGTCCTGACCACCCTCCCCTCTCTTGCACCCGCCTCTCCCGTCAGGGCCCAAGTCCCTGTTTTCTGAGCCCGGGCTGCCTGGGCTGTTGGCACTCACAGACCTGGAGCCCCTGGGTGGGTGGTGGGGAGGGGCGCTGGCCCAGCCGGCCTCTCTGGCCTCCCACCCGATGCTGCTTTCCCCTGTGGGGATCTCAGGGGCTGTTTGAGGATATATTTTCACTTTGTGATTATTTCACTTTAGATGCTGATGATTTGTTTTTGTATTTTTAATGGGGGTAGCAGCTGGACTACCCACGTTCTCACACCCACCGTCCGCCCTGCTCCTCCCTGGCTGCCCTGGCCCTGAGGTGTGGGGGCTGCAGCATGTTGCTGAGGAGTGAGGAATAGTTGAGCCCCAAGTCCTGAAGAGGCGGGCCAGCCAGGCGGGCTCAAGGAAAGGGGGTCCCAGTGGGAGGGGCAGGCTGACATCTGTGTTTCAAGTGGGGCTCGCCATGCCGGGGGTTCATAGGTCACTGGCTCTCCAAGTGCCAGAGGTGGGCAGGTGGTGGCACTGAGCCCCCCCAACACTGTGCCCTGGTGGAGAAAGCACTGACCTGTCATGCCCCCCTCAAACCTCCTCTTCTGACGTGCCTTTTGCACCCCTCCCATTAGGACAATCAGTCCCCTCCCATCTGGGAGTCCCCTTTTCTTTTCTACCCTAGCCATTCCTGGTACCCAGCCATCTGCCCAGGGGTGCCCCCTCCTCTCCCATCCCCCTGCCCTCGTGGCCAGCCCGGCTGGTTTTGTAAGATGCTGGGTTGGTGCACAGTGATTTTTTTCTTGTAATTTAAACAGGCCCAGCATTGCTGGTTCTATTTAATGGACATGAGATAATGTTAGAGGTTTTAAAGTGATTAAACGTGCAGACTATGCAAACCAGGCCCAGTCTCCAGTGTGGTACCGTTGCTCCTGCATCGCAGCTGAGGATAGGGGGCCAGTTAGGCCTACACAGTGGCCTGCCTGCCTGGATGTGGGCCCAAGTCAGAAGGCCAAAGTCCTCCAAGGGGCGGGAGGATGCGCCAGCCCCTAGTGGAGGAGCTGGTGCCCCTGGGGTGGGGCTGGTGACCCCTGGTCCTCAGGAGCTGAGCACTAAACTCCCAAAGTCCTGGTTTCCAGCAGTGTGAAGAACTGGGCCTATTGTGTCTTCCTGGGCTGAAGTGATCTGGTCGCCACAGGCTATAGGGCTGAGGCCTAAGGTGGAGGGAGGCCTGACTGAATCAAGATGACTTCTTGTGGGGAGCCTGAGTCCCAAATGGAAAACTCCACGCCTGTCCGCTCCCCAACCCCTGCCCCTTGATTTCCCCAGGTCTCCCTTGGGACAGGAAGCCCCTGCCTGGGGGTAGGAGGATGGGGACAAAACCACTAGGATCTGTATCCGAGAAGCAGTCTCTGTTCGGGATATTTACTTGGAAATTTTATTCAAATGGAAGCTGGCGCCTGAGCCTCTCCTTAGGGAATTCCGTGAGGTGGGGAGGGCTGGGACCAGGGTTCCCTCTTTCTCTTCTGCGGTGGCCCTGGCCTGGTGCTAGGACTGCGCGCCTCCCCTCAGTACCCGCGGACACCCTGGGCTTCCCTGGGCCCAGCATCTGCCTGGGGCCTCGCCCTGGGCTCCCCCTCCTGACCCCCACCTTGCGCCCCTTCCCGGTGTTCCCGGGGCGCTGCCGGGCCCTGGGGCCTGCGGGGCGCGGGCGGCTCTTGGCTGGGCCATTCTTTCCCGGCCCCCTCCTCCCTTCCGTTTCCGTGGCCGTGCGGCCGGCTAGAGGCTGCGGCCCAGCGCGGAGCAGGGGGGCTGGCAGGCGTCGGGGCGGTCGGGCCGGTCCCGCCCGCCCCTTCCCCTCCACAGGCCCGCCCCGGGGCCTGGGCCAACTGAAACCGCGGGAGGAGGAAGCGCGGAATCAGGAACTGGCCGGGGTCCGCACCGGGCCTGAGTCGGTCCGAGGCCGTCCCAGGAGCAGCTGCCCGTGCGGGTACCTCTAGCCCCGGGGCCTGGAGGAGCGGTGGGAGCTGGGGGCGCGGCAGGCAGGGGCAGAGCAGGCGTTCCGAGGGCCAGAGACCCACCCAGGTGGGGGTAGGGGCCGCGGAAGGGCGGGGATGGCCGCAGGGGCAGGGCTCAGGCTGTGGGCGCCTGAGGCTTCAGCTGGGGCAGGCTTGGCCTGTCGAGGACCTGGGCAAGGGTGTCCCTGTAAGGGGTGGTGGGTGGAAGGGCCTGGGGAGGGAGGCTCCAGGTTGGCTCCTGTTCCCGAACGTGCGGAGGAGACCCTGACGCTAAGGAAGCAATGAGGGCCAGTCCCCAGGCCAGGCTGCTGCTGGGTACCCATGGCTGCGTGTGAGCGAGGCAGGACCCCACCTCCTCCCCGTCTGCAGTCCATCCTGACCCTACAGTCCCCAGTCTCCTCGTCCCATGCCTCCGTCTCCAGCTGCTGCCTTGCCTCCAGGGATGGCCCCTTTTCTGTCCCCAGAACAGCACTATGGGCTTCTCTTCCGAGCTGTGCAGCCCCCAGGGCCACGGGGTCCTGCAGCAAATGCAGGAGGCCGAGCTTCGTCTACTGGAGGGCATGAGAAAGTGGATGGCCCAGCGGGTCAAGAGTGACAGGGAGTATGCAGGACTGCTTCACCACATGTCCCTGCAGGACAGTGGGGGCCAGAGCCGGGCCATCAGCCCTGACAGCCCCATCAGTCAGGTGGGTCTCTATGGGACTCTGGTGGGTGCTGGCTGTATCTGCCTTCTCCTTCCTCTCCTGGGGGCCCTCTGGGGCAGTGGCTGGAGATCTGGCAGGCCAATGCTTGGGAGCCATTGTGCCCCCCTCCCTGCCTCCCCCATCTGTGCTGTATAGTCCTGGGCTGAGATCACCAGCCAAACTGAGGGCCTGAGCCGCTTGCTGCGGCAGCACGCAGAGGATCTGAACTCAGGGCCCCTGAGCAAGCTGAGCCTGCTCATCCGGGAACGGCAGCAGCTTCGCAAGACCTACAGCGAGCAGTGGCAGCAGCTGCAGCAGGAGCTCACCAAGGTGAGCGGGCAGCACTGGGGCTTCGGTCATTTCTGTCTAAATTTTGAGCCTCGAAGGGGTTGTTTTGCACAAGAGGCCCTGGATTCACTGGGGAAGTGTAAGTCCCTGACCGCAGGCCTGGCTTGCTCTAACCTTGATGCAGCTTCCTCTCTTCCTTCCCCTACGTTGAGCTGGCTTGCAGCAAGGCCTCTCTGTGCTTTTTCTGTGCCTGGGCAAAGTGCTGGGAGTGTAAGGATGAGTGACCGGTCACGTGCCTGGGAGAAGCTCAGAATCGGTACTCGCCTCCACACTGTGCCATCTGGCTCTGGGTTCTGAGAGTCAGGGAGAGGAATGAGGGTCAGTCTGTTTGCCTTCGACCTAGGCAGCCTCCTCTCAGGGCCCCAGAGACTGGGCAGCAGCATGGCCCCCCGAAGGTCGAGGATTCGGGCCGTGAAGTCAGCCTGCCTAGGTTTGAATCCCACCCAGCTCCTCAGTCTAGAGGCTGTGTGATTTGGAACTATTTATCTGGGAGCCTAGTGCCCCCATTCAGTGTGCTGGTCACCCTCCCTGCACCACACCCCTTCCTCAAGTGCAGAGCCCAGCCTTGCCATGGACCCACAGCGGCCCCTGGTGGCCACCCTGGCCCCATTCCTCGCCCCAAAAGATCATCTGATTCAAGGGTGGGCCCATTTTTATAAAGTTTTGCTGGAACACAGCTATGCCCTTTTGTTTTCATATTGTCTGTGACTACAATGACAGAGTTGAGTAATTGTGACAGAGGCTCTATGGCCTACAAGCGTAAAATATTTATTTACTATCTGGCCCTTTAAGAAAAAGACTGATCTAGTCGAGGAATCTAGCTCAGTTACAGATGGGGAAACTGAGGTTGGGCGCTTGCCCAACATATCCCAGCACATAAACAGGAGAACTGGGACGAGAACACTGATCTCGGGCTGTCATCTATTCCTACTGCCAAGAACATAATTTGCAGGACCCAGTGCAAAGTGAAATTGTGGGGGTCTTTGTTAAAAGATTGCTAGGAATTTCCAGGTGGCAATAATGGAGAATGAAACCAAGCACAGGGCCCTTCTACATGTGGAGCCCCGTGTGACTGCACAGGCCGTGCACACCTGCAACTGGCCCTGCCTGCCACCAGGCTACCACTGTCAGTCCAAGGAGGGACCATTGTAGCCTGTAGTCTACCTCTTTGCCTCCCCAAGGGGTCTGTCTTTAACAGGCTCTCTGATCTTTGACTCTCACGTCAGCAGCCAGCTTTCCCAGAAGTCTCCAGGTGCTCCTTGCCTGACGACAGGACCTTTCCAGGGCTTCACCCCAGGCAAGAATCTTCCACAACTGGGGACCTGCTGCCCCACACTGGCCTCTCCTCTCTCCCTAGACCCACAGCCAGGACATTGAGAAGCTGAAGAGCCAGTACCGAGCTCTGGCACGGGACAGTGCCCAAGCCAAGCGCAAGTACCAGGAGGCCAGCAAAGGTTCGTGGCTTCCCTTGCTGGCAGGGAGGGAATCCGAAGCCAGTGCTGACCTGTCCTTGGGTACCCAGAGAGTGGGGGCTGCCTGGGCCTCCATGCTGTCATCTATACCCCTTGCCCCCCTTCTGGCAGACAAGGACCGTGACAAGGCTAAGGACAAGTATGTGCGCAGCCTGTGGAAGCTCTTTGCTCACCACAACCGCTATGTGCTGGGCGTGCGGGCTGCGCAGCTACACCACCAGCACCACCACCAGCTCCTGCTGCCCGGCCTGCTGCGGTCACTGCAGGACCTGCACGAGGAGATGGCTTGCATCCTGTAAGCCCGCAGCCCCGTCCCCTGGCCCCCACCCTTGAGCAGCCCTAAGCCCAGCCATCAGGCCCAGAGGCAGGACCCAGAAAATCCATTGCTGGGAAGGTGCTGGCCATGTAACCACATGAGAACGGGACCTGGGCCAAGGATTGGAAACAGGCAACTTACCTCTGAATTACACTATTCCAGGGTCTCATTATTCCAGGGTTTTATTACATTCATTGAGCACTGTTCTGGGCTCTGGATTATACCAGAGAACGATGGTAGACAAAAACATCTGTCCTCAGGGATCTTTCGTGTTAGTGGAGTGAGGATGTGAGGAGCACTAAGAGCCATGGAGAAAAATAAAGCAAGAGAAGTGGATCGGGACCTGGGAGCACGGAGGCAAGGGAGGAGGTGACAGTTGTCCATAGAGTGATCTGGGAAAGCCTCTTGAGAGGTGACATTCAAAGAGGCCCCTGAGAGGGGTACGGGAGTGAATCATGGGGCTATTTGGAGAAAGACCATTCCAGAAAGGAGGACAGCAATTACACAGGCCTTGAGGTAGGAGAGTACCAGGGACTAATAGCCAGGAACCAGTGGTGCCTCTGAGAGTGAGGGAGGGGGAGAGTCATACACGAGGCTGGAGGAGGCAGGCGTCAAGGGCTACTGGGTGATAGAGGGTCTAGCAGGGCCATGGTGAGGACTTTGGCTCTGGGTGAACAAGAATGGCATGATCTGACCTCTGTTTTTTTGTTTCATTTTGTTTTAACTTTTTTTGAGTCAGAGTCTCGCTCTGCCGCCCAGGCTAGAGTGCAGTGGCATGATCTCGGCTTACTGCAACCTCCGCCTCCCAGGTTCAAGTGATTCCCCTGCCTCAGCCTCCCGAGTAGCTGGAACTACGGGCATGCGCCACCACACCCAGCTAATTTTTGTATTTTTAGTAGAGATGGGGTTTCACCATGTTGCCCAGGCTAGTCTCTAATTCCTGGGCTCAAAGCGATTTGCCTGCCTCTGCCTCCCAAAGTGCCGGGATTACAGGCATGAGCCACCATGCCCAGCCCTGACCTCTGTTTTAATAAGGCCACTCTGGCTGCTGTGCTGCAAATAGACTTCAGGGAGCAAGGACAGAAGCTGGGAGGCCAGAGAGCAGGCTCTTGCCATAATCCAGATCCAAGCTTTTGGCCACTAGGACGGGGAGGTAGCAATGGAGGTGAGGCGCGGTCAGGTCCTGGAAGGTGAAGCCAGTGGGATTTCCCTATGGATTGGAAGTGGGGCGTGAAATAGAGGAGTCAGGGGTCACTCTGGGGATTTGGCCTGGAGCAGCTGGAAGATGGAGTGGCTGTTAACTTATGTAGGGAAGGCTGTGGGAAGAAGAGGTTTAGGAGACAAGGATAGCAGTTCATTTATTTATTTATTTATTTATTTATTTATTTATTTATTTATTTATTTAGAGATGTAGTCTCATTCTTTCGCCAGGCTGGAGTGCAGTGGCGCGATCTTGGCTCACTGCAACCTCCACCTCCCAGGCTCAAGCGATTCTCTTGCCTCAGCCTCCCGAGTAGCCAAGTAGCTGGGACTACAGGCATGTGCCACCATGCCTGGCTAATTTTTGTATTTGCTTTTTCAGTAGAGATGGGGTTTCACCACGTTAGCCAGGCTGGTCTCGAACTGACCTCAGGCAATCCACCCGCCTCGACCTCCCAGTGTTGGTATTATAGGCGTGAGCCACTGTGCCTGGCCCACTGGATCCTTATTACAACTGCCAGTGTCCCTCTTATATATATCAGGAAATAGAAGATTAGGGAGAGGTTAAATAATTTGCCTAGAGTGGCATGGCTAGCTCGAAGTGAGGCAGGGGTCAACCCCAGCCCTGACTCCAAACCCAGGGTCCTAGGCCTGAACTGCCCAGCCTTGCCCAGCCTGAGGCTCCCCTGACTGGGGATCCCGTCTCGGGGGCAGGAAGGAGATCCTGCAGGAATACCTGGAGATTAGCAGCCTGGTGCAGGATGAGGTGGTGGCCATTCACCGGGAGATGGCTGCAGCTGCTGCCCGCATCCAGCCTGAGGCTGAGTACCAAGGCTTCCTGCGACAGTATGGGTAAGCCCCGTCCTTGCTCCTGCTGGGCCCAGGGCTGCTGGCCTGTCCACTGACGGGGCGCTGTCCCCCACAGGTCCGCACCTGACGTCCCACCCTGTGTCACGTTCGATGAGTCACTGCTTGAGGAGGGTGAACCGCTGGAGCCTGGGGAGCTCCAGCTGAACGAGCTGACTGTGGAGAGCGTGCAGCACACGTGGGTGGTGGCTTTGCACCTGGGCTGCGGCGGGGCTCCCAGCAGACCACGAGTGTTTATGTAGGCAGGGCTAGGTCGTGGAGACTGTCCACACAGAGCTGTCACCAGGTGGCCGGGCTTGCTTGGCTCTACAGGGATGCACTGGACCTGGGTTGAGGGGGCAGGAGGGCTCGGTTCTAATGCTGCCCTTCTCTTGGGTGCAGGCTGACCTCAGTGACAGATGAGCTGGCTGTGGCCACCGAGATGGTGTTCAGGCGGCAGGAGATGGTTACGCAGCTGCAACAGGAGCTCCGGAATGAAGAGGAGAACACCCACCCCCGGGAGCGGTGAGTGGGCCCCTGCCTGCAGCAGCCTCCTGGGCCTCCCTCCCTCCTACCTACCCTAACTGCTGCTGGCTACCCGCCGCAGACCGAGCCCTTATTCTCATCCACCCTCCCACCCGCCCCTGCCTGCAGGGTGCAGCTGCTGGGCAAGAGGCAAGTGCTGCAAGAAGCACTGCAGGGGCTGCAGGTAGCGCTGTGCAGCCAGGCCAAGCTGCAGGCCCAGCAGGAGTTGCTGCAGACCAAGCTGGAGCACCTGGGCCCCGGCGAGCCCCCGCCTGTGCTGCTCCTGCAGGATGACCGCCACTCCACGTCGTCCTCGGTGAGCTGCCCCATCCGCGGCCGCTGCCCGCCACCGGCCTGCCCACCTGGGGCTGCGCTCCTCATTTTCGCCCTCCCCCTCCCTAAGCCTGGCCACCCGCTGACGTCTGTCCCTGGCCTCAGGAGCAGGAGCGAGAGGGGGGAAGGACACCCACGCTGGAGATCCTTAAGAGCCACATCTCAGGAATCTTCCGCCCCAAGTTCTCGGTGAGTGGCGCCCAGCCTGGGCCCCCCTACTGTTGTGTTTCGAGTTTAATCACTGGGATGTCCTAGAGAGGAGGCTCTGCCCAGGCTGCTTGTATTGGGAAGTTCCTCTCTTCCCTGGGATTCCAGGCTGCAGATGTCCCCAGACCCTGCCCCTGTGACCCCTCCCTTTCCATCGCCCCAGTGTGCTAAAGGGACCAGCAACCTCGACTATTCCATGGCTCTCCCTGCTTCAGGAGCGGGTTGGGGGCCTGTGGCCTGGAGGAGGAGGCACCAGCTTGGTTTGGGGTCTTCCTGCCTGGGCTTCCCTTCCCAGCTCTGCCCAGCGTGAGCCTGGGCCAGTCCAGTGCCCACTCCAGGGGCCTGTGGATGGCTCTGCATGCCACTCCATGGTTGTAAGGGCTGAGGGCATATAGGGGGGAGAGAGAGACCCCCGGCTGCCCCCACGGCCTCTTCAACAAGGTGGTTAAGTGACTCCTCCTCGATCCTCCCTTGCCCAGCTCCCTCCACCGCTGCAGCTCATTCCGGAGGTGCAGAAGCCCCTGCATGAGCAGCTGTGGTACCACGGGGCCATCCCGAGGGCAGAGGTGGCTGAGCTGCTGGTGCACTCTGGGGACTTCCTGGTGCGGGAGAGCCAGGGCAAGCAGGAGTACGTGCTGTCGGTGCTGTGGGATGGTCTGCCCCGGCACTTCATCATCCAGTCCTTGGATGTGAGTGGGGCTGGGACCCGAGCCTTCCAGGCCTCACTCTTCCCCTCCCTTCCCTTCCCCAAGGGAAATGGCCTTTCAGGGTAGGGGGTAGCTGCCAGGTCTTGGATGCCTCCCTAGCAGGGCTGGCTGGAAGGGGCCACAGAGACCACCCTGTCCCTGCAACAAAATAGAGGCTTAAGTGTGAGTCCTCCCCTGGTGGGGCAGCAGGATGTCATGTGCCATCAGATGGCATCTTTTCTGGAGGTCTCTCTGCCCCTGGTCCTGGGCAGGCCCTTTCTCCCCTGCTGCTCTCCCTTTCCCCCTCCCAGGGCTCACGCCCCCTCAGAATGGAGGCTGCTGACCCCGGGTCCCCTGCCCTGCAGAACCTGTACCGACTGGAAGGGGAAGGCTTTCCTAGCATTCCTTTGCTCATCGACCACCTACTGAGCACCCAGCAGCCCCTCACCAAGAAGAGTGGTGTTGTCCTGCACAGGGCTGTGCCCAAGGTGAGCCTGCACCCAGCCTGGCCCATGCCACCTGTGGCAGGGCTTGGGGAGTGTGGGTCAGGCCCACCCAGCGTCTGAGCAGAAAGGGCTTTCCAGGCCCTCCGTCTACATACAAGATGCAGAGTGAGTGACCCTCAGGGCCAGCCTTGCTCTAGGTTTGGAATGTCAGGGCCACTCCTATGCCATGGGCTGTACACACCAGGTTGGTGCTTACCTGGTCAGGGCACCTGCCTGGACCCCGTAGTCATCTCAGTGTGCTCCCCACGTGGTCCCACCCCTGGTCACATATGGAGGCGCCAAAAAATGGAGGACACAGCCCTTCTAAGGGCCCAGCACCCCTTTTCTTCAGACTTCTGATCCCCTGTCTCCTCTCTTCCCCAGGACAAGTGGGTGCTGAACCATGAGGACCTGGTGTTGGGTGAGCAGATTGGACGGGTGAGTGCGCCTCTGCTGGCCTCCTTGTCGCTGGCGACTTCTCCTGAGTCGCGCCTGGGCCCCCTGCCCTACCACCCAGAGACCTCCCTGCCCCATCTGATTCCCCACTTGTACCCCGACTCCCTGCCCAGCCCCCACCACACACCATCCTCCAGGAAACGGGACAGTACCTACCCTGAAAACTCCCAGCAGACAGCTCTGCCAGCACCCTGACCTCATCACCCCCACCCAGGCCGCCCCCATCGAGCTCTTGTGTGCACGCAGGGAGACACCCTGTTACTGTAAGCCATAAGATACCTGTTTAGGGAAGAAGTCACTGTCCTAAAAATCAGAATGCTTTTCAAACCCAAGGGAGAGTGATTTTTGGATTTCCATGTCACTTCTCTCAGGAAGGGTGGCACATCGGAGGCAACTTTCCCTGCCTGCCCCATGTGCTCTCTAGGTTCCCCAGCGAGGGTCAAACTCCCAGAGAGCCTGGGTGAGGGGTCCGAACACGGGGGCCCCTCACCCAGGGGTAGGAAGCAGAATGGGTAGGAAGCGGAGAAGAGAACTGCGGGACTGGGAAGGCCGTGGTAGGAGCCCAAGACCGTTTCAGGGGAACTTTGGCGAAGTGTTCAGCGGACGCCTGCGAGCCGACAACACCCTGGTGGCGGTGAAGTCTTGTCGAGAGACGCTCCCACCTGACCTCAAGGCCAAGTTTCTACAGGAAGCGAGGTGGGTGATAAACTAATGATCACCACGGGTCCCGCATACACAGAGGTTACACTGCATGGCACAGTGTGAAGTGCTTGACCACCGTGGTGGTGTTTAGTCCTCGAGGCCCCCCATTGCGGGTAGTACCCCCTTATAGTGCCGAAGGGTAGAGGCTGCCCCAGGTCACACGTCCGGGTCTGCTGGCCTTGGAGGCCAAGCTCTTCTCCCATCATCCCTGGGGGGCCCTGGGGAGGCGGGCCTGGCCACGTAGATCCTGAGCAGCAGTGCCCTCCAGGATCCTGAAGCAGTACAGCCACCCCAACATCGTGCGTCTCATTGGTGTCTGCACCCAGAAGCAGCCCATCTACATCGTCATGGAGCTTGTGCAGGGTGAGCGCGGGGCGCTGAGCTCCAGGTAGGGCGCGCAGCCTGGTCAGGTGGCAGCCTTACCTCAGGAGGCTCAGCAGGGGTCCTCCCCACCTGCAGGGGGCGACTTCCTGACCTTCCTCCGCACGGAGGGGGCCCGCCTGCGGGTGAAGACTCTGCTGCAGATGGTGGGGGATGCAGCTGCTGGCATGGAGTACCTGGAGAGCAAGTGCTGCATCCACCGGTGAGTGGGCGGTGGCCACGGGCCCTGCCAACACCCCCGACCAGAGTCAAGAGGTACCTATACCCCTAGGGCCCCCCGCTGGACCATCAGGCATCAGCTCCAGAGGGGGAGTTGGCCTCTGTGGTAGACAGGGGTGCCCAGGGCCGGGAGCAGCTTTTGTCCTTGGCTTTCCTAGAGTGTTCAGCCAGGGCTGGGCAGGCGACTGTTGGCCAAATGAGCCCCTGCCCTGTCTCACCCAGGGACCTGGCTGCTCGGAACTGCCTGGTGACAGAGAAGAATGTCCTGAAGATCAGTGACTTTGGGATGTCCCGAGAGGAAGCCGATGGGGTCTATGCAGCCTCAGGGGGCCTCAGACAAGTCCCCGTGAAGTGGACCGCACCTGAGGCCCTTAACTACGGTACCTAGTCCCTGTCTACCCTGGACTCCATGGCCAGAGGCCAGGCCTGGGTCCTGCCGGCTGCCTCGCCCTGGCCCCAGGGAGGGTGCACTCACGCTGCCTCACCTCCTCGCCTCCTCTGCAGGCCGCTACTCCTCCGAAAGCGACGTGTGGAGCTTTGGCATCTTGCTCTGGGAGACCTTCAGCCTGGGGGCCTCCCCCTATCCCAACCTCAGCAATCAGCAGACACGGGAGTTTGTGGAGAAGGGTAAGCACCCTGTGATGACAGCAGCCTCAGGCTGCACCCTCTTCCAGATGCTCCAGCCGGACTCTTCTAACTCCCTTAATGCCAACCTTCCCACCAGGCAGAATAAGAATAACCTGGCCAGTTGCTCACGCCTGTCATCCCAGCACTTTGGGAGGCTGAGCTGGGTGGATCACTTGAGCCCAGGAGTTCAAGATCAGCTTGGACAACACAGTGAAACTCCATCTGTACAAAAAATACAAAAATAGACTGGGCACGGTGGCTCACACCTGTAATCCCAGCACTTTGGGAGGCCGAGGCAGGTGGATCACCTGTGGTCAGGAGTTTGAGACCAGCCAGACCAACATGGTGAAACCCCATCTCTACTAAAAATACAAAAATTAGCCAGGCATGGTGGCACGTGCCTGTAATCCCAGCTACTTGGGAGGCTGAGGTGGGAGAATTGCTTGAACCCAGGAGGCGGAGGCTGCAGTGAGCCGAGATTGTGCCACTGCACTCCAGCCTGGGCGACAAGAGTGAAACTCCATCTCAAAAAAAACCAAAAAACAAAAAATACAAAAATTAGCTGGGTGTGGTGACATGCGCCTGTAGTCCCTGCTACTCGGGAGGCTGAGGTGGGAGGATCACTGGAGCCCGGGAGGTGGAGGTTGCAGTGAGCTGAGATCATGCCACTGCACCCCAACCTGGGTGACAGAGAGAGAGAGAGACCTTGACTCGAAAAAGAAAAAAACCTGGGCGCAGTGGCTCACGCCTGTAATTTCAACATTTTGGGAGGCTGAGGAAGGTGGATCACTTGAGTCTAGGAGTTTGACACTAGCCTGGCCAACATGGCAAAACCTGTCTCTACTAAAAATACAAAAAATTAGCGAGGTGTAGTGGTGCAAGCCTGTAATCCCAGCTACTTGGGAGGCTGAGGCACAAGAATCGCTTGAACCTGGGAGGTGGAGGTTGCAGTGAGCTGAGATCACACCACTGCATTCCAGCGTGGGTGACAGAGCAAGACTCCATCTCAGAAAAAGAAAAAAAAAAATAGAATATCCCTGTAGCTACTACTGAGTGAGCACCTGGTCTGTGCTAGGTCACATGTTATTTCATTTGCTCATCACTACATGTGTGGTAGGGATTAATATGTCCCTTTCTCAGATGGAAAAACAGGCTGGCAGAGGGGACACAGCTAGCACGTGGTAGGATTAGGATCAGAAGCCAGGCCTCTTTGTCCTTTGGGCCCTTGGTGGAGAACAGTGCATCCTTCAGAACAGTGCATCTTAAGCAGCTCCTATGGCTCATGGTATCCCCCAGAGTCTGCCGAGGACCCTCAAACTCCCTCCTCATGCCTGGTGTGCTGTGCCTCTCCTCACAGGGGGCCGTCTGCCCTGCCCAGAGCTGTGTCCTGATGCCGTGTTCAGGCTCATGGAGCAGTGCTGGGCCTATGAGCCTGGGCAGCGGCCCAGCTTCAGCACCATCTACCAGGAGCTGCAGAGCATCCGAAAGCGGCATCGGTGAGGCTGGGACCCCCTTCTCAAGCTGGTGGCCTCTGCAGGCCTAGGTGCAGCTCCTCAGCGGCTCCAGCTCATATGCTGACAGCTCTTCACAGTCCTGGACTCCTGCCACCAGCATCCACACTGCCGGCAGGATGCAGCGCCGTGTCCTCTCTGTGTCCCTGCTGCTGCCAGGGCTTCCTCTTCCGGGCAGAAACAATAAAACCACTTGTGCCCACTGAACACTCCTGGCATGTGCACTCCTCTGGAAGGCAGGTCTCAGAAGGCACAAGTGCCGGTATGGTGGCCTTGGGGAAGGAGGAGGACAGGCAGTATGCATGGGGCAGAGCTGACATGATTTAGTAGCAGCTGGATGTGAGACATGCGGAAGGCGGGGGAGAGATCAGGATGATATACAGGCTATGGCCAGATGGCGGTGTCATCCCCTGAAATAGGATTATAGGAAGAGGATCAGAGCTTCGAGGAGGATGTTGAGTTTAGAGATGTTGCATTTTATTGGAGATAAAAGTGTGGGTGAAGCCAGGTGTGGTGGTAGACACCTGTAGTCCCAGGTACTTGGGAGGCCAAGGCATGTGGATTGCTTGAGCCTAGTTTGAGACCAGCCTGGGCAACATGGCAAAACTCCATCTTTACAAAAACAAAAAACAAAAAACAAAAAACCAAGAAAATTAGCCAGGCGTGGTGGCACACACCTATAGTCCCAGCTACTCAGAAGGCTGAGGTAGGAGGATCAATTGAGCCTCGGAGGTCGAGGCTGCAGTGAGCTGTGATCACACCACTGCATTCCAGCCTGGGCAACAAAGCGAGGCCCTGTCTCAAAAATAAGTAAATAAAAATAATAAATAATTAATTTAAAATGTAGATGAATAGGTCTGGAAGCCCAGATGGAGATGAAGGCTGGCAATAGATGTGTGAATCATTGGCTTATGAATATTAGAGAGTAGCTGACACTATGGATGCGTATAACACTCGCATAAAATTCAGGAGGAGATGAGAAGAGAGTTCCACTCAAAGAAGACTGATGTGGCTGATGAGGAAGAAAATGCTTTTGAGGGAGTTGTTTCTCAAGATGAATTTATTGAGGAATAAGATGGCAGACTGGGGAGCCTTCACCTCCTCCCCTAAGTCCCAGTGAAACCTAAAAAGTCATCTGAAATATTAACATCACCAAAAGCGAAGTTTGAGAAGATAAGGAAGTATGAACATAACTAAAAAACAAAGTGGGAAACATTTGTAATACAGAACAGGGCAATGAAAACCTTGAAGTAAAATGGCCATCCCTCAAGAAAGTTCAGGAAATAGTTAACATCAGCTGGGTGCAGTGGCTCACACCTATAATCCCAGCACTTTGGAAGGCTGAGGCAGGTGGATCACCTGAGGTCAGGAGCTCGAGACCAGTCTGGCCAACATAGTGAAACTCCGTCTCTGCTAAAAATACAAAAAAAATTAGCCAGGCGTGGTGGTGTGCACCTGTAATCCCAGCTACTCTGGAGGCTGAGAAGGGAGAATTCCTTGAACCGGGGAGATGAAGGTTGGAGTGAGCAGAGACCGCGCCATTGCACTCCAGCCTGGGCAACAAGAGCGAAGAACAAAACTATGTCTCAAAAAAACAAAACACAGCAAACAAAAATCTATTTTGAAAGAGATGAGAGTGAGCCATATAACTTGTTTAAACAAAAGGAAGTTGTGTTGTCGTGTAATTAAATGAAAATACTAGGAAGTGAAATAATACCTCCAATGGAAATGGTAGAAAGCAGAACTGAAAAACTTCTGCTAGGTAGGATATGGTAGGTCTCTGCACGCCACCACTCCCATTGCAACCGCTAGGGAAAAAACAGCTAAGATGAAAATGTCTTTTTTTTTCTTTTTTTTTTTTTTTTGAGATGGAGTCTCGCGCTGTTGCACAGGCTGGAGTGCAGTGGCGCGATCTCAGTTCACTGCAACCTCTGCCTCTCGGGTTCAAGCGATTCTCCTGCCTCAGCCTCCTGAGTAGCTGGGATTACAGGCACGCATCACTACGAGCGGCTAATTTTTGTAATTTTAGTAGAGACGGGGTTTCAACATGTTGGTCAGGCTGGTCTCAAACTCCTGACCTCAAGTGACCCGCCCACCTCGGCCTCCCAAAGTGTTGGGATTACAGGGATGAGCCACCACGCCTGGCCGAAATGTCTTATTTTTAAAAAGAATGAAGAGTGGTCACAGAAATAAAGACTGAATGGACTAAAATTTCAAGGAGGGAAGAGCCCTTCCGAGTTGAACTAGTGATAGGCAGCTATTTTCTTCCCTGAAACATTTGCCCATTTGGGACATGAGGATCAGACTTGGCCCAAGCAGAGAGACTCTACTGGGGAAGAGAGAAAGGAACAGTTTTTGGTAGTTGCAAGGACTTGCTATGGATTAGGACCTAGAGGAGCACAAAATGCAGAGTGTTTTCCCCATGGGACATTTGCTGAGTTCTGAGGCAGTGCAGGAGACTGAGAAGGCAAGTCCCACAGTCTTGCAGTGTTTAGAGAGGAGGCCTGGAGTGAACAAATAGCTGGTCTCCCCAACATAAGGTATTTGCCAGGTTTTGCGCCTGTGTGGGTTGGGAAGCTAAAGAGCTCCCTTTAAATCTCTGAAGAGCAGAACTTTAAGATCTGAGAGAGACAGAGACTGACTAGGCTTTCAATCCAAAATCCAAGAGGGCCATTCCTAAGGAACAAGGACAACCAGGAGGGGATTGAATTTTACTGCAATTCCAACACTGCCCCAACCCAGTTCAGTACGTAATTGCATCGAAGTGACTAGCTCCTGTAGGGAATAACAAGATTTGAAGCCCCTATCCTTCTTTTATACCCAATATGTGACATACAATTAAAAATCATAAACCATGCAAAAAATGGAGAAATGTGGGGCTAATACATAAAAGAAAAAATAAATAAAAGCAGACCCACATGTGATCCAGGCATTGGAACTGGCAAAGATTTTTAAATAACTTGGTTAATATGTCAAATAGAGAAGAAGATGGACAAAAAAGAAGCAAATGTAGAGAATGTCAACAGAGTTGGAATCTATTAAAAGAGGATGAAAGGAGGCTATTGAACTGAAAAATACCCCTGAAATTACAAACTCATTGGATGGATTTCATAAACATTGATAGAAGTAAAGGATAAAATCACAATCGAATTTAGAAATTAAGTCATATCAGAAAACAGAATTAGTGAACTTAATAGGTTAAAAGGAGGTACCTAAACTGAAGTACAGAGAGGAAAAAAGAGAATGGAAGCTAAGAAACATGGGACTATATGAATAATTCAAGTTACAGAAGAAGTGGAGAGAGAAATTAGGTCCAGAACAACTGGAAAATGACCCAAACGTATATACAGCAATAAAAACAAACAAACAAAACACCACTAATATATGCACCGACATTGATGAATGTCAAAGACGTGGTTGGGCACAGTGGCTCATGCCTGTAACCCCAGCACTTTGGGAGGCCAAGGTGGGCAAATCACTTGATGCCAAGAGTTGACCAGCCTGGCCAACATGGTGAAACCCCGTCTCTACTAAAAATACAAAAATTAGATGGGTGTGGTGGCACATGCCTGTAGTCCCAGCTACTCAGGAGGCCAAGGCATGAGAATCACTTGAACCCAGGAGGCGGAGGTTGCAGTAAACTGAGATCGCACCACTGCACTCCAGCTTGGGTGACAGCAAGACTGTCTCAAAAAAAAAAAAAAAAAGTCATACTGAGTAAAGAAGCCAGACATGAAAAGAGTTCATACTTATGATTCTATTTTATGAAGTTCAAGAACAGGCAAAACTAAGTTACAGAGAAGTCAAAGCAGTGCTTATGTCTGGAGGGTCCTGATGGAAAGGCGTGTGAAGATGGAGGGGAAAAGGTTCACCATGGTGCCCTTACAACCATGTGTGTCTCTACATGGGCCACATAGGCAAGGCTGGACCACAGTCTGACAGCCACTATGGTGTGCTTAGGGACTGCTTGGCCACTTAACACGGGAACATTTTGGGTAGATGGGAATGTCCTGCATTTTGATCTGGGTGGTGATTATGCTTGTGTATGTATTTATCAAAACCCATCAAGCTGTACACTTAAGATTTGTGCCACACAGTGTAAACTGTACCTAAATTTTTAAAAAAGAACCACCAGACAACAAACAAGAATTCTTGAAAATTGAGATTATCAGGCTGGGCGCGGTGGCTCATGCCTGTAATCCCAGCACTTTGGGAGGCTGAGGTGGGCAGATCACCTGAGGTTGGGAGTTCGAGACGAGTCCAACCAACATGGAGAAACCCTATCCCTACTAAAAATACCAAATTAGCCAGGCGTGGTGGCAGATGCCTGTAATCCCAGCTACTCAGGAGGCTGAGGCAAGAGAATCACTCGAATCCAGAGGCAGAGGTTGTGGTGAGTGGAGATCACGCCATTGCACTCCAGCCTGGGCAACAAGAGCAGAACTCCCTCTCAAAACGAAGGAAAAAAGAAGATTATCACCAAAATGAGGCTGAGCACGGTGGCTCACGCCTGTAATCCCAACACTTTGGGAGGCCGAGGTGGGCAAATCACCTGAGGTCAGGAGTTCAAGACCAGCCTGGCCAACATGGTGAAACCCCATCTCTACTAAAAATACAAAAATTAGCTGGGCATGGTGGTGCGCGCTTCTAATCCCAGCTACTCGGGAGGCTGAAGCACAAGAATCACTTGAACCTGGGAAGCAGAGGTTGCAGTGAGCTGAGATCACGCCACCACTCTTCAGCCTGAGCGACAGAGTGAGACTTTGTCTCAAAAAAAAAAAAAAAAAAAAAAAAATTACCAAAATGGAAAATTCAATAGAAGGGCTGGAAAATAAATCTCCCAGAACACAAGGCAAAATATGAAAAGACAAAGAGGATGATGAGCCCAGTCTAGGTCTAACACCCTAATAACAGGCATTCCAGTGAGTAAACAAACCTGGAAAGCTGTTCCTGATGGTGATAAAAGAAGTGGCAGTCGAGTGCAGTGGCTTATCCCTGTAATCACAGCACTTTGGGAAGCTGAGGCAGGAGGATCAAGGCCAGGAGTTCGAGGCTGCAGTGAACCATGATCACACCACTGCACTCCAGCCTGGGTGACAGACAAGAGCTTGTCAAAAACAATAAAAAAATAAAAAGAGCTGGGCACTATGGCTCATATCTGTAATCCTGGAACTTTGGAAGGCCAAAGTGGGGGGATCGCTTGAGCCCAGGAGTTGGAGAACAGCCTGGGCAACACAGTGAGACCCTCCCACCCACCACAAAAAATAAAAAAATTAGGGCCGGGCACAGTGACTCACGCCTGTAATCCCAGCACTTTGGGAGGCTGAGGCAGGTGGATCACCTGAGGTCAGGAGTTCGAGACCAGCCTGGACAACATGGTAAAACCCCATCTCTACTAAAAACACAAAATTAGCCAGGTATGGTGGCACGTGCCTGTAGTCCCAGCTATTTGGGAGGCTGAGGCAGGAGAATCGCTTGAACCTGGGAGGCGGAGGTTGCAGTGAGCCAAGATCGCGCCATTGCACTCCAGCCTGGGCAACAAGAACGAAACTCCGTCTCAAAAAATAAAAATAAAAAAATTAAAAAATAAAAAAATTAGCTGGGTGTAGTGGCACATACCTGTAAGGCTCAGCTACTCAGGAGGCTGAAGTGGGAGGATGGCTTGAGTCTGGAAGGTCAAAGATGCAGTGAGCTGAGATGGTGCCACTGCACTCCAGCCTGGGAAACAGTGAGATATTGTCTCAAAAAAAAGAAATGGTCGTTAAATAAGAGATAGCATTGATCATTCTCAGCAAACTAACACAGGAACAGAAAACCAAACACCGCATGTTCTCACTAATAAGTGGGAGTTAACAATGAAAACACATGGACACAGAGAGGGGAACATCACACACCGGGGCCTGTCGGGGGTTGGGGGCAAGGTGAGGGAGAGCACCTAATGTATGTGGGGCTTAAAACCTAGATGATGGGTTGATGGGTGCAGCAAACCACCATGGCACATGTATACCTATGTAACAAATCTGCATGTTCTGCACATGTATCCCAGAACTTAAAGGAAAATTTTTAAAAATGAGATGGCATTATATATCTCATTAATCAGCTAAAACATTGTTTAAGCAATATCCAGCAGTTTGTTATTGATGGTGTAAACTGGTACAGTCTTTTGGGGGAGCGATAGTGTCATCAGTCATCTCTGTCCTTATCTTTTGCCCGGGTAACTTCACTGTTGCAAATTCATCATAAAATAACGTCTTAATCTGTTCGGGCTGTTAGGACAAAATACCATAAAGTAGGTAGTTTATCAACAACAGAAATGTATTTTCTCACAGTTCTGGAGGCTGGAAAGTCCATGATAAGGCATAAGCGGATTCAGTGTCGGGTGAGGGCCTGCCTGTGGTGCACAGATAGTGCCTTCTAGCTGTGTTCTCACGTGGTTGAAGGGGCCGACTCTCGGGGTCATTTGATACCGGCACTAATCCCATTCATGAGAGCTCTCCCTTCAAACTCTGTTCACCCCCAAAGGCCCATCTCCTAATACCATCATCACCTTGAGGGATTAGGATTTGAACATGAATTTGGGGGGTCACATTCAGATAATGTTATATATAACTTAAAAAGAACAAAAATGTGGAATTCATGGAGATGTTCATTGCAGTATGGATTACACTGAAAAACTGTAAACAACCTAGATGCCCAGTAAAAGGGAAACAGCCAAGAAAAGTCTGTGTCTTGTTCACTCGCTGGCAGGAAACATAGAGCAGGCACGGAAAGGAAAGGGACTCGAGGAATGCGCTGTACCGACAGGAGGCAGCACCCCTTTGCCCGAGGGGCGCAACGACAGAGACCTAAGGCTACCTGGGCCGGAGCCGGGTGAGGCCGCGGAGAACGCACCCCGCTACGCGTCTGCCGAGACGGAGGCGGGCGTTTCGACCACTGCCCGATCATGCGCTTACTCAAGTAGGATTCCGAAAAAATTCAGTCGCGCGTCCCTCCTGAGGTTCCGCAGCTGGCCAGGCCCGGCCCGGGCTGGTGCGGCTGCGCACTGCAGCCCAGCGGAGCGGGCCCGGGAGGAGCCGGGCGGGGACCGCGGCGGCCAGAGCTCCTGTCAGCTCCGCCGGGCACACGCAGGCCGGGGCGGGCGGCGCGGCTGTCCCCGCCCCGCACGCTGCTGGGCCCGGCAGCTTCAGAGGCTGGCGGACCCGCGCGGGGCCGGCGCAGCGGAGCGCGCCGGCGGCCCGGGGCCCAGCGGGAGCGCGGCAGCGGCGCGCGGAGCAGGGGGCTACGGGTGGGCGGGCGCCCGCCTTCGCCTGCGTCGCTGCCTGCACGCGGGCCGCCGTCCCCGGGCGTGTGAGAGCCGGCAGCTCGGCCGACTGGGCCCGGAGCGGCGCGGAGGCCGGGCGCTGACGGTAACGGGCCGGGTGCGCGCGCGGGAGGGCTCCGGCTGCCCCGACAGAGGCCGGGCTCGGGCGGCGGGAGTGCGAGCGCCACTGCGGCGTCAGAGGGGCCAGGAAGGGACAGGAGGCTGCCTGAGGCCCGTACCTGGCGCCTGTCTCTGCGGTCCCCGGGGCCGACGAAGTCGGAGCGGGTGGGGAGGGAGCCGGGCGGGCGGCCAGAGACCTGGCGGCAGGTGCCTGCCCTCTGTGATCCAACTCTCTCCCCAGCTCCACCCACATTGGCCTAGACCCAGTCTCTAAGGGCTGAAAATATTGCCCGGAAGCTCCCGAGCAGAATCAGATCGCGCTAAGTAGGGCACAACGCAGAGGCGACAAAGCTCCTCGGCCCCAGGGCCCGCGGAGCAGACTCCGGAGCGCGGTCCCGCCCACGCTCGGCTCCGCAGTTAGCGTCCTCCTTCCTCCTGAGCAGGCAAGCGGAGCCCGAGGGCGGTGGCGGCGGGGGGCACGGGTCCCCTGAAGTTGCCTCGCAGCTGAGCACTGGGCCCCGTCTCTCCCTTCCCAGGGGGCCTTCGGCGTCACTGCAGGCTTCCTAGGGGTCCCCTAAGTGCTCTGCAAACCGCGGCTGGAAGTTTCCCACTGCAGTGAACAGTAGAGAAACAGGGAGAACACACAGGGCTTGCTTTATGCTAGAAACACAAGCATCTTTCTTCTTTATTAGAAAGAAACTCATTCTGTGTTTCTGAGAAAGGATCGTGCCAGGCACTGTTTCTGGTGAGTGCCAGTTTGACCCGAAAGGGCACTGAGAAAGGCTTTCCTATCAGTCTCTTTGGGTTCTGGCTAAACTTTTAAATCAAACAAAATAGAGACTAGCTTATTCACCTGAAACTAGAAGCACATGGCCGAGGAGCCTGAACAGGCACCTCCTATCTAGGCAGGGAAGCTGTGTAATCAGGAGCTTGTGTGGTGCGCTCCAGTCGGAGCTGGGACTCTTATCCTGGGCCCGTTTTTCATAGCACCAGCCAAAGGAGAGCGTCCTCTCCACCCTAGCGGCAGAGCTGCTACCAGGACCAGGTGGGCCAGCCTCAGATGTGCTGCTTGTGCTACTTGGAGCCAGGCAAATGGGTGTTCCTTTGGAACAGCCCTCAGGAACTCACTGGGGTATTTGGTGGAAAGACTGCCACGGGCATTTTGCATGTTGGAGCTACAGATGGTGTCCTTCCTGCCAGGTGTGTGTGGAGGCCAGTATGAAGCTGAAAAAGCAGGTGACAGTGTGTGGGGCTGCCATCTTCTGTGTGGCAGTCTTCTCGCTCTACCTCATGCTGGACCGAGTGCAACACGATCCCACCCGACACCAGAATGGTGGGAACTTCCCCCGGGTGAGTCGTGCCTGGTTGCTAATTTCTTTGTATACAAGTCACCTGGGCTCAGGGTATGCACCTCCCACCCCGCCGCCTCCCCTCCCACCCCCCGCTGGAGGGTAATGTCAGTACAGGACAGGAGCCTTCCTTCCCAATAGTCAGGTTTTGTAGAAACCCTCAGCTAAAAACAGTGATGGCGAAAAGAAGGAAGGAAGAAAAAATGTCAATGGCAATGAGTATTGTCACTCTGTTCTCCTGAATTCTTTTCTTTCTTTTTTTTTTTTTTGAGACAGAGTCTCGCTCTGTCGCCCAGCCTTGAGTGCAGTGGCGCGATCTTGGCTCACTGCAACCTCCGCCTCCCAGGTTCAAGCAATTCTCCTGCCTCAGCCTCCCAAGTAGCTGGGACTACAGGAGCCTGCCACCATGCCCGACTAATTTTTGTATTTTTAGTAGAGACGAGACGAGGTATCGCCATGTTGGCCAGGCTGGTCTTGAACTCCTGACCTCAGGTGATCCACCCACCTTGGCCTCCCAAAGTGCTGGGATTACAGGTGTGGGCCACCGCGCCCAGCCCCTCCTGAATTCTTGGCAGACATTGCTAATTGATTGCAGCATTCTTTGCCATTAAGCCCCGCTGAAATCCTCAGCACAGGCAACACCGATTGTTGAGAATAGGTAGGTGAAAGGAAATCTTTGCCATCCCTGAGCTAGAGAGTGATGGTTCTCCCAACCCAAGTGGAGTGTAGTCCTCAGTGGTGATCTGCACAGCTCCCTTTATCTGAACGGTGTCATCTATCCCTCTAGGCTCATGGTCTGGCTTTGACTGATGAGGGAAGAATTGTACTCAGGCCTCAGCTGGTAGACCCCAAGCAGAGACCCTCCCTGTGGCATAAGGAGCTGTGTGTGATTGCTTTCTGGTTTTTTGGCAGAGCCAAATTTCTGTGCTGCAGAACCGCATTGAGCAGCTGGAGCAGCTTTTGGAGGAGAACCATGAGATTATCAGCCATATCAAGGACTCCGTGCTGGAGCTGACAGCCAACGCAGAGGGCCCGCCCGCCATGCTGCCCTACTACACGGTCAATGGCTCCTGGGTGGTGCCACCGGAGCCCCGGCCCAGCTTCTTCTCCATCTCCCCGCAGGACTGCCAGTTTGCTTTGGGGGGCCGGGGTCAGAAGCCAGAGCTGCAGGTAAGAGTCAGAGCTGGCAGGGACGTACAGTGGCCACGACTGGGGTACTGAGCTGCAGTTCACCTGGCAGATGCTCACTGTGTCGGAGGAGCTGCCGTTTGACAACGTGGATGGTGGTGTGTGGAGGCAAGGCTTCGACATCTCCTACGACCCGCACGACTGGGATGCTGAAGACCTGCAGGTGTTTGTGGTGCCCCACTCTCACAATGACCCAGGTGAGGGCCCTGCAGACTCCTGGGAGCTGGAGTGTGGAGTGGGATTTCTGATGGCCAATACAAGGGAGGGACGTCGAAGAAGATGGTGGCATCCTCAGGGGACCCTACATTGGCTCCCTAGGCTGGATCAAGACCTTTGACAAGTACTACACAGAGCAGACCCAACACATCCTCAATAGCATGGTGTCTAAGCTGCAGGAGGACCCCCGGCGGCGCTTCCTCTGGGCAGAGGTCTCCTTCTTCGCCAAGTGGTGGGACAACATCAATGTCCAAAAGAGAGCGGCAGTCCGAAGGCCAGTACCAGGCGGGGAGGCATGGGAGGGCATTGTCTGAGCCCCAGGCTGGGTGGACGGGTCTTACCTTAAGCTATGGGTGCCAAGGTGGCAGGGAGAGGCCCAGAGAGCTGTGGAAGAGATGAGTGATGGTGGAGGGAGGGAAGGCAAAAACAGATAGGTTCCGAGATAAGCGGGGCCAGGATAGCCTGGAGGTTGGCTGTAAGGAAAGGAGGGCAAGTGTGTGTTCTCTTGGTCCTGGGATTGGGAGAACTGGTCCAGTGAGGCCAGTGCACACAGGCCCTGACATTTGCTGGTTGGCAGGACTGGGCAGAGTGTCCTGCTCCGTCCTGAGTGTGAGTCCTTAACTATAGGCTGGTGGGAAACGGGCAGCTGGAGATTGCGACAGGAGGCTGGGTGATGCCAGATGAGGCCAATTCCCACTACTTTGCATTGATTGACCAGCTCATCGAAGGACACCAGTGGCTGGAGAGAAATCTTGGTAAGTCCAGGCCCAGGCATGGGGGTCTGCCCCCTGGGCTGTAAGGCACAGGCAGGGGCTGTAAGGCACAGGGATCGGCAGGGGGTGGTTCCTTTCTAGGCAGATCCCACCATGTGGGCCTGGTGTGATATCATCTCTCCACTCACTACCAGGACAAGAGCTGGGGTCCCAGCACCTGGAAGGCCGGGGGGCCAGCCCCTGAGGTGTGTTCAGGGCCTCTCTGGCTTCCATGCCCTGCCCAGGTGCAACCCCCCGCTCTGGCTGGGCAGTGGACCCCTTTGGATACAGCTCCACCATGCCTTACCTGCTGCGCCGTGCCAACCTCACCAGCATGCTGATTCAGAGAGTGCACTATGCCATCAAGAAGCACTTTGCTGCCACCCACAGCCTAGAGTTCATGTGGAGGCAGACATGGGGTAAGGCCGGGTAGGGTAGAGGGGGTTACTGCAGCATAGTCTTCACTGGGGAACAGCAGGGATATCAGAACTAAGACCCCCACTGTTCTTCAGAGCAGACCTGCAGGCACTGGTGTGGACTGCCAGAAATGGTCGCACCCTCTGGTTAGGGGAGGGCCATATTGACCTCTGGCCTCTACAGGGCCTGCTGTCCCAAGGGCTTCAGCGTGCCCTGTGTGCCCGTCCCCTGAGGGAGCCCCTCATGTCTTTCTCCCTGGCCTACACACTCTCTCCAGCCCTAGGTCCAGTTACAGCCTCGCGGTCTATCAGGGCTGCCTTTAGCCTGAACAGATCCTTGCCCCCCTGGCGTCCAGAGGCTGCCTGCTGGTGGTGACCACGTGGTGTGTCTCCTGCAGACTCGGACTCCAGCACAGACATCTTCTGTCACATGATGCCCTTCTACAGCTATGACGTCCCCCATACCTGTGGCCCAGATCCCAAGATCTGCTGCCAATTTGATTTCAAACGCCTGCCTGGTGGGCGCATCAACTGCCCTTGGAAGGTGCCACCCCGGGCCATCACAGAGGCCAACGTGGCAGAGAGGTATCTGCTTCCAGCCCTTTCACTTCACAGAGGAATCGGGAGGCCTGGCTCTGGTCTGGGCCGTGCCACGTGGAGGGTGGGCTCAGGTGGTGAGTTGAGGCTCCTAGCCTCTGCAGCAGCAGCTCCTTACTAAGTCTCCTGAAAAACTGGAATGGCTCTTGCAACCACCTTTCACAGAATGCTTTTAGGTTCTCACATGAGTACTTCTTGATGCCCTAACAAACTGCCAGGGCCAGCTGACAACTTAGAGGTGAAGGATTCCCAGGTTAGATGTATGTTACAAACTTCAGGCTCATGTGCCTTCACTTAGTGCCAGTGTTCTGACTTGGCTTTAAGTCAACCACGAGAATCCTGTTCAGATCCACATTCAGTCCCACGAGATAGCCTCCAGCCTCTGAGAAAACAGACCTGTCCCTTTTGAGAGAATTTAGGGACCCCTAAAGATAGCACTCTTGCTGAAATCAGGCCCCGGGGGAAAGTGTTAGGTAAGAGTTGATCCAAACAGCAATTTAGTCAGAACCTTAAGAATACGACAAGTTGGATTGGTTTTTATGTTGCAATGCTCTGATTTCTCCCTGATGTCCAAGAGTTGAAACGTGACCAAAAGGGAAATAAAGTGGTCTTTTGTTTCCAGAAGTCTAAATGGCGATTCCAGGCAAGAATCTAGGGCTATGAGGGCGTGACTTTTCTTAAAGCAGCAGTTGTGATCAGTGAGGCTGGCCTAGGTTTACAAGAACAGGCCCTGAAAGGTAACCATTTTCTCCTTTGAAAGGCTTACTAGACTGATAAGTTAGGGGAAAGTGGTATTTGAGGAATCCTCTCATGAGAACAGAGTAGAAAAGTACAAGCTGGGCCAGCGCCGCTAAGTAGATTAGTTGACTCTTTGGACTGTGATATTTATAACATGCCAATTAAAGTAGGAAAGGGCTTCTGCTGATGTGCCACAGGGCTGTTTTTCTACTGATTTTGCCAATAATTTGGATGAAAAGAAAAGAAATGTTTATATATAGTTCCCATTATGTACCAGGCACTATTCTAAGTGTTTAACAAATATTCATTCATTGATTTTATTTTATTTATTTAATTTAATTTTTTTTTTTTTTTGAGATGGAGTCTGTCACCCAGGCTGGAGTGCGGTGGTGCAATTTCGGCTCACCGCAACCTCCGCCTCCTGGGTTCAAGTGATTATCCTGCCTCAGCCTCCTGAGTAGCTGGGATTACAGATGTGCACCACCACACCCGGCTAATTTTTGTATTTTTAGTAGAGACAGGGTTTCACCATATTGGCCAGGCTGGTCTTGAATTCCTGACCTCAGGTGATCTGCCTGCCCCGGTCTCCCAAAGTGCTGGGATTACAGGTGTGAGCCACTGCGCTCGGCCCATTCAATCCATTTTAATTCTCATAACATTATATGGGTACCTACGGATGTTATCCTTATTTTGCTAGAAATGGAGGCTCAGAGAGGTTACTTGCCCACAGTCACTGAGCTAGTACTTGTGGAGCTGGTGTGATATGGCTCCGGGGTCCAGACCCTTCACTTTGGTGCTGCATCGCTAACTGGTGGGCAAAATGAGGCGGGAGTGTCAGAACCAGGATCCCAAAAGATCTCAACAGCCTAGCATAAAAAATAACATGTCAGCTGTCAGAACTGCCCAGAGAGCACCGGACTCCCCTGGGGCTGGGATTCATGTGCAGGAGGTGTCTGTTTGCGCTGAACCACTCCTTGGTGGATGGGATGTCTTCTAGGGGCTTGCTGGCGGGATGGCTGTGCGTGGTGCTCTTTTACTGATGAGACTTCGTGGTGGGCCCATGTTTTTTTTCCTGCCCCAGGGCAGCCCTGCTTCTGGACCAATACCGGAAGAAGTCCCAGCTGTTCCGAAGCAACGTCCTCCTGGTGCCTCTTGGAGATGACTTCCGATATGACAAGCCCCAGGAGTGGGATGCCCAGTTCTTCAACTACCAACGGCTCTTTGACTTCTTCAACAGCAGGCCTAACCTCCATGTGCAGGTGTGAGGGGCACTTGACTGGGGAGGGGCCTCACAGTGCTGCAGCCCATCCCTTCCCGTGAGACCGTGCCCTGGGTTCCCAACTCGGGCAGGGTGCCCCCCTTTTTTTTTTTTTTTTGAGATGGAGTCTCACTCTGTTGCCCAGGCTGGAGTTCAGTGGCGCGATCTTGGCTCACTGCCAGCTCCGCCTCCCGGGTTCACGCCAGTCTCCTGCCTCAGCTGCCCAAGTAGCTGGGACTACAGGTGCCTGCCATCACACCCAGCTAATTTTTTGTAGTTTTAGTAGAGATGGGGTTTCACTGTGTTAGCCAGGGTGGTCTCGATCTCCTGACTTCGTGATCCACTCGCCTCGGCCTCCCAAAGTGCTGGGATTACAGGCGTGAGCCACCGCGCCCAGCCGAAGGTGCCCCTTTTATGTCAGAATTAATTCCCAGGCTCCCCTACTTCTGTTAAGTCTAGAATGGCAGGATGTACAGTTCCTGCTTCTGAGGCCAGAGCCCCTGCCTCACCCCCAACTGCAGCACTGTGGCCACAATTTGCAGGAGGCTCTAGAACTGATGGGAGTGGGTTTTTGGGGTTCCCACAGGCCCAGTTTGGCACTCTTTCTGACTATTTTGATGCCCTGTACAAGAGGACAGGGGTGGAGCCAGGGGCCCGGCCTCCAGGGTTTCCTGTGCTGAGCGGGGATTTCTTCTCCTATGCGGACCGGGAGGATCATTACTGGACAGGCTATTACACTTCCCGGCCCTTCTACAAGAGCTTAGACCGAGTCCTGGAAGCCCACCTGCGGTGAGACCCTGTCCCCGCTTCCAGGCTGGAGGGGGAGAGTCAGCCTTTGGGGTTTAAGGAGGGGCTGGATTGGCTCAGAAGGGAATAGATAGGCCCAGAGGCCAGGGCAGGTAGAGGAGGGGTGGGAAGGAAGGAGGCTGCACTGGCAGAGTGTGGGTGGGCCCTGGCTAGTGGTGCAGGCTGGCAGCTAACTTCTCTCTCTGGGCAGGGGGGCAGAGGTTCTGTACAGCCTGGCTGCAGCTCACGCTCGCCGCTCTGGTCTGGCTGGCCGGTACCCACTGTCTGATTTCACCCTCCTGACGGAAGCTCGGCGCACATTGGGGCTCTTCCAGCATCACGATGCCATCACTGGCACGGCCAAGGAGGCTGTGGTGGTGGACTATGGGGTCAGGTGGGAGCCTTCTCTTTTCCCTTGTAAGCTCCCCTGCTCACTGTCCCAAAGAAAGGACATTGGGTGGTCAGGGGGTAGGCCGGCCTAGGGCTTGTCCTGCTGACAAGGCAGACAGCTTCCCTATGGTCATCTTCTCTCCTTCCCTCTCCTGCGCCACCCACAGGCTTCTGCGCTCCCTTGTCAACCTGAAGCAGGTCATCATTCATGCAGCCCACTATCTGGTGCTGGGGGACAAGGAGACCTACCACTTTGACCCTGAGGCGCCCTTCCTCCAAGTGGTGAGCCCCTCCTGGGTCTGCATGGGGACCCTCTGGTGTGTGCAGGTCCCATCCCAAGAGCTGCTGGATGGGGGTGCCGCTTCTCTTTTTCCTTCCCCATCCGGATGAGTTCTGTGCCCAGTGCAGCCGCTGGTCCACACCTGGGACAGGTGGGGTGGGAGGAGGCTGAGCCCATGATGGTTCTTCCCTTCCGGCTCACTGAATTCCAGGATGACACTCGCTTAAGTCACGACGCCCTCCCAGAGCGCACGGTGATCCAGCTGGATTCCTCGCCCAGGTAACCTGGACTACGCCATGTGCAGAGAGGCAGAGCCATTCCCTGGCTCTCAGGCCCCTCTGCCCCAGCATGTGCTGAACCAGTGCAGGGCGCTTGCCCTGGTCGGAAGCAGCAGCCTCCTGGGTCAGCCCACCTTCTACGCACAGGTTTGTGGTCCTATTCAACCCACTGGAACAGGAGCGATTCAGCATGGTGTCCCTGCTGGTCAACTCTCCCCGCGTGCGTGTCCTTTCGGAGGAGGGTCAGCCCCTGGCCGTGCAGATCAGCGCACACTGGAGCTCTGCCACCGAGGCGGTCCCTGACGTCTACCAGGTGAGGTGTGGGCTTGTCAGGTGGGCCTGGCCCTCTGCCCGTCGTGGGCCCCTCCCCGCCCGGCGACGCCAGCCTCCCACCCTCCTGCTTGTGGCCCTGCTACTCTCCAGGCTGAGGACAAGTGTCCTGGGGAGGGGGTTGTCCAGAAGACAGGCACTCTTGGGATTTGAGCGTGTCCTTGAAAAGAAGGGGAAGGTTGGTATGGTAATAGTAATGGTAAAAATAGCAGTTATAATGCCCCATCATTCAGTCATTCAATGTTTATCGAAAGCTTAATGTGTTGTTACCGCTTCATACTTTTTCAAATATCACTTGAGAATCATAAAGTCTGATGAGGAAGAAAGGGCAAATCAGATCACCTCCACTTTGGAGGAGGGGCAGAGGCCCAGCGGGTGCAGGGGCTTGCTCAAGCCCTCTGTTAGTAAGCGGATGCCTCAGCACCCCTGTGGCGAAAGCCGTGCCCCCACTTCCTCACCCCTCCTGTGCCCACAGGTGTCTGTGCCTGTCCGCCTGCCAGCCCTGGGCCTGGGCGTGCTGCAGCTACAGCTGGGCCTGGATGGGCACCGCACGCTGCCCTCCTCTGTGCGCATCTACCTGCACGGCCGGCAGCTGTCCGTCAGCAGGCACGAAGCGTTTCCTCTCCGTGTCATTGACTCTGGCACCAGCGACTTCGCCCTCAGCAACCGCTACATGCAGGTCTGGTTCTCAGGCCTTACTGGGCTCCTCAAGGTAAAAGGCCAGGGTGGTGGGGAAGGGCCAGGGGCCAGAGTAGGGCGTGTGTGGTGGTGGCACTGTGCAGAGCGGCCTCCCGGCCCTGTGAGCATTCTGCCACCTGACCCACAGTGGACCGGGGCCTGGGCCATCTCAGCTCCAGCCTGACAGCATGGGGAAGCAGGGCACGGCTCCTTGGGGAAGCTATTCCGTGTCCTCCCAGGAGGCAGGCCTGACATGCTGGTGTGGGGCCAGGGGTCAGGGCTGTGTTTTTTGGCAGAGCATCCGAAGGGTGGATGAGGAGCACGAGCAGCAGGTGGACATGCAGGTCCTTGTCTATGGCACCCGTACGTCCAAAGACAAGAGTGGAGCCTACCTCTTCCTGCCCGATGGCGAGGCCAAGGTATCCTAAAGATGCCTTGAACAACCTGGCAGGGAGGGCAGGAGGGGGCACAGGCCTTCCCACAGGTTTATTGCTGCCTGCCAGGGGCCTTGTCTTTCCTGTTCAGCCCAGGGGTGTCTGGGAATAGGTGCTCTCTTGCCCAGCCCTGGGCTGGCACCTTCCTGCTTTGCCCTCTGTGCTGTAGTTTCAACAGCAATCTGCTCTTTCTCTAGCCCTACGTCCCCAAGGAGCCCCCCGTGCTGCGTGTCACTGAAGGCCCTTTCTTCTCAGAGGTGGTTGCGTACTATGAGCACATTCACCAGGCGGTCCGGCTTTACAATCTGCCAGGTGAGCCCTGCATATGAGGAAGGGTCTGGAAGGAGGTGTGGGCTCCACAACTGTGGCGTATTCTTCCTTCTGCTGCTTCTCTGTTCATACCTCTGTTCCGTATCATTTGAGACAGGGATGCTCCATTCTCTTGGAGAAAAAGTCATCCAGAAATGCCCTGGGGATTTCTTGGGAGGTTGGACAGAGCCTCTCCCCAGCTCGGCTCTGATCCCCCAGCCCAGCCTCTTAGCTGTGCTTCAGCCTCACACCTGTCCATGCCCCCACTTTGTTCCTGTACCCAGGGGTGGAGGGGCTGTCTCTGGACATATCATCCCTGGTGGACATCCGGGACTACGTCAACAAGGAGCTGGCCCTGCACATCCATACAGACATCGACAGCCAGGGTATCTTCTTCACAGACCTCAATGGCTTTCAGGTGACTCCTGGGCCTGGGTCTCGGAGACCCCACAGAGTAGAACTTGGACTCTGCTTTTGCCCCTGTCACAGGCCCTGGGGGATGATCTGCCCTGATGGAGAAAGATGAATGAGAGGCGAAGAGTTATCGGGGACTCCTTCAGTCTGGGGACCGCTTGGGCCCACATGGTGCCCGGGTGCCCTTGATCTGCTGGCCTTGCCCCCACAGGTGCAGCCCCGACGGTATCTGAAGAAGCTCCCCCTCCAGGCCAACTTCTACCCCATGCCAGTCATGGCCTATATCCAGGACGCACAGAAGCGCCTCACGCTGCACACTGCCCAGGCCCTGGGTGTCTCTAGCCTCAAAGATGGTGAGTAGGGCCCAGGAGTTCTGCAGAGGGTATCAGACAAAAAGAAGCCCGTCCCCACCCTCAAGGGCTCCCCGCTCTGTTGGCCTCCCTTGCCTCTTTCTGGACTGCATCACCTCCATGCTTGGAGAGGGGGCAAGCCATTCAGAGCTCTTGGCACAGGAGGCAGGCATCTGCTGTCCCCATCCCCTGGTGGAGGCAGCAGTGTAGGCAACTGGGTGGAGTGTCCTACTGGATGCCCTGAAGAACCGTCAGGGTTACAACTCTTGGGGCCAAAGAAAGGAAAAAAAATGTCAAAAAGCAAAGCTAGGCACAGTGGTTCACTCCTGTAATCCCAGCACTGTTGGGAGGCCAAGGCAGAAGGCCAGGAGTTTGAGACCAGCCTGGGCAACAAAGCGAGACCCAGGCTCTACAAAAAGATTTAAAAATTAGCTGGATTTGGTGGCACGTGCCTATAGTCCCAGCTACTCAGGAGACTGAGATGGGAGGATTGCTTGAGCCCAGGAGCTGGAGGCTGCAGTAAGCCAAGACTGTGCCACTGCACTACAGCCTGGTGACAGAGCAAGACCCAGTCTGAAAAAAAAGGCAAGAAGCATCAGGGTATTGAACAGTGGTTCTCAGCTGAGGTGTGCAACCCTCTTCTGGGCGGGGCTGAGAGTAGGGACAGCTTGTAAAGTGCACTCAGTGTTATGAAATATTAAGGAAATGAGAAAATTACATACTGTTTTCCTTCCAGTGATCATTAAAAGACAGACTGACGTTCTTTTTTTTTGTTTTTTTGTTTTGAGACGGAGTTTCACTCTTTCGCCCAGGCTGGAGTGCAGTGGTGCAATCTCCGCTCACTGCAACCTCCGCCTTCCGATTTGAAGCGATTCTCTTGCTTCAGCCTCCTGAGTAGCTGGGATTACAGGCGCCCGCCACCATGCGCAGCTAGTTTTTCTATTTTTAGTAGAGATGGGGTTTCACCATGTTGGCCAGGCTGGTCTGGAACTCCTGACCTTGTGATCTGCCTGCCTCGGTCTCCCAAAGTGCTGGGATTATAGGTGTGAGCCAACACGCCCGGCCAAGACTGACGTTCTTAAGAATCAAGACGGGCATGGGGAGCACTGGCCTGGAGTCAGACCCGGGTAGCTGGTCACGCTGGCAGCTCTGTGTGGCCCCCATATCCTCAGGGCAAAACGAACAGTTTGCACTTGGTGGCATCTGAGGCCCTTGAGATCTGTCTCTGGGAAGAGCCCTTGTGAAGGGCTGAGCCGAGAGCACCCAGTCAAGGCTAGGCGTGGCCCAATGGCTGGCAAGTTCGGGGGCCTGACTCCCTGCTGGGAGGAGTGTGCCTTTCTCTGCCAGGAGCAGCCCCTGGTCCATCTGTGTCATGACTCCTAACTGCAGCCCAATATCCCTCACTGGATCTTCTCCTCTCCCCCTCTGGGATATGGTATTTGAAAAAATGACTGTCTTCTATACAAGGGATCCGTTTTAGGGTTTTCAGACATCTTTCTGTGGTTGTTCTGGGTTAAAAGACTGAGCAACTACACAAGTCAGTAAGGACTGGAGAGGTGAAAGGGAGAATAAGGCCATCTGTCCCGGTGGAATGTAGGGGCAGCTGGTGTGGTTTCCCTCGAGATCTTGTACAAGAACAGCTGCACCCACCTCCAACACCTGCACACACTGGGGCCTCTGTCCCCAACACATCAGCCATGCACCGAGCCCCTGCTCCAAGCATACTCTAGAAAACAGAGCAAAGGTGGTCACTTGCCATATCTTTTTTCCAGGGCAACCCAGATGACACTTAATATGAGCCTCTGCCTGACTTGCCATCTGGCTGTCCTTTCCAGAGCCCTACTTTTAACACACAGACAGTCAGAGCTTGAGTCTGACCTGCTGGGGCTGTCTGGCTGTCCAGTGTAGAACAAGGGCAGGAGAGCCTGTGTTTTAGTCACAACCTGCCCAACCTGAGCAAACCTGCCCCAGATTACGGAGGTGTGCAGCAACACTACCGATGGCTGTTGATCTAAGTTTTTCATTTCTGGTTTATTTTGTTGTATGTAACCCGTCCTGATTCGGTTTCCTGCCTGGGCCCCTAGGCCCGTTCCCTACTCCTGAGTCCCAGAGCGTGGGGGGTAAACTGCCAGGGCCAGCCTTCCCCTTTCTGGACCTCATGCTTCCTCATCTGCAAAATAACGGCCCAGGACGAGCCCCTCATCAGGTTCCCTCCCAGCCGTGGGAACCCGTGACCTCTCCTGAGTGACTCAGCTTCTGTCTCTCGAGCTGCGCTTTTCCGTCAGGGCCTGTGGCTTGGGATTCTCCTTTGAAAGGTCAGTGCCTGCTTGGGGGTGGGGGCGGGCCAGCACTCACTGTTTGCTTCCCCAGGCCAGCTGGAGGTGATCTTGGACCGGCGGCTGATGCAGGATGACAACCGGGGCCTAGGCCAAGGGCTCAAGGACAACAAGAGAACCTGCAACCGTTTCCGCCTCCTGCTAGAGCGGCGAACCGTGGGCAGTGAGGTAACATCTGGGGCTGACGCCCAGGGAGCCAGGTCTGGCTAGTCCCTGGGGGTGGCCGGGGGGTCCAGCCTAGGGCTCGAGGAGCGTAGTTGGAGGTGGGCAAGAGAGAGAGAGTAGGGCTGAATTCCTGGGGTGGGGGGAGGCAGTCTGGCGTTTTGTGTCCCATCTCACGCAGCCTGGCACCTTCCTCTCCCAGCAGCGCTCTGTCACCTGTGCCCCTCATGTTCGTCTCCCACTTTCCTCTGTGCTGCCCTCCTCTGCCCTGTCCCAGCATTCTCTAAGCCTGTGCTCCAACCCCGCTCATCTCATGGCTTTCTTTGCCCCACCAGCCTGACTTTTTCTCCAAACTGGCAGCCATGTTTAGGGGCTTGATCTTTCACAGCAGCAGGAGCGGTAACCGAGAGGTAAGGGTCGGCTCTGGGAGCGGGGAACTAGTACGAGCAAGGTGTAGCTGCGCCAGAGCCCAGGTGACAGAGCCCGCCACTCAGTCACTCGTGCATCAGATAGATATTGAGCACCTGCTTTACTGTGAGGACCCAGAGGGACATAAGTGCAGACAGTGCTGACTCTCCCAGGAGTTTACTCGTGAGTAGGGGTGGCAGAGAAGCCATGTGTGTAAAAATGCAAGGTAGAAAGGGCTTTGTCTCACTGATCCTGAGGAGCAAGGTAATAATGTGGGCTAAGGAGATCGAGGTCAAGGAGGTGTCACCCAGGTGTGGCTTTGATGAATGGGGTGTGATTTGAAGATATGAACCAGGGCACAGGATAGGAGGCAGGAAAGACAACAGGCTGGGGAATAGCAGTGAGTTCCTTAGTTATGCTGGAGCTATGCTATCCAGTACGGTGGCCAGTAGCCCTATATGGCTATTTAAATTACAACTAAATCAAGTAAAAAATTTGCTTTCTTATTCCTACTGACCACACTTCAAGTACTCAAGTGGCTAAGTGGCTGCCGTATTAGACCATGTGGTGTCGGATATTTCCATCCTTGCAGAATGCCCTCTTGGCTGGTGCTGGGCTAGAGTGCTAGGGGGAGATCAGGGCAGACGGCAGAGCACCTTGAGTGCCTGCTAAGGGATCTGGACTTTATCCTGGCTAGGAAAGGTCCAGGCTAAGGAAAGAGCTGAGCAAGGAGGGACACCGTCAGAACTCTGGTCTCAGCATGTCACGCTGACAGTACGGAGCAGGTTGGATCTGTGGGAAGGGAGACTGGAGGAGGGTGACAGCGGGAGGCTGTTCAGGCAGGACATGCTGGCTGCTTGAACTAGGCCAGAGGCTGGAGAAGTTGCCGGTGGCTATGAGGACACTGCCCAGGTGCGACGGAAGAGGGTTTAGCATTACCTGGGAATGCAGAGGGAAGTGAGAGATGCTGGGCGCTTGGAAGAAGGGGGATGCCAGGGACAGAAGTCCAGAATATTCAGCCCAGGCCTGTGAGTCTGACGTCCAGGTGAGCTGCTAAGGAGTAGCCCTGCTGGCAGAGCCCCGGCCGCGCTGGGCCTGAGAGCCAGGCTGGCACTGTGGATGTGGCATCGCTCGTGAAGCCGCAGATTACCCAGAGCACTCTGGATTGGAGGTCCGTGCTCCATGGTGAGGCCTGCGTCTGCCTGGCTGCCATCCTCCCTGCACTGTGGATCCATGTGTGAGGGGAGACATGGCTGATGGGAGTGGGTTGCTCATGATAGTGTTATGTGAGCAAGGAACTAAAAAGTAGAGAAGAAACAGCTTAGTGAAGTAGCCCTCTGCGTTAGGGGAGACGGCAAATGTCCACACTTGAAGGGTTAGCGGAACCTCGCCTGGAGCCAGGCGTGCCCTTGAGTCCAGGCACACCAGGAAAGGTCTTTCCAAAACAACTGACCTGGGTGTGCTTTTATCCTGCCTCGTCCTCTCCCCTCAGCCTGGCTTTGGTCCCTCACCAATATCTCGGGTCAATTTTGCAGGTCCAAGATAGCCACTCTACCAGCTACCCATCCCTCCTCAGCCACCTGACCTCCATGTACCTGAACGCCCCGGCGCTCGCTCTGCCTGTAGCCAGGATGCAGCTCCCAGGCCCTGGTCTGCGCTCATTTCATCCTCTGGCTTCCTCACTGCCCTGTGACTTCCACCTGCTCAACCTACGTACGCTCCAGGCTGAGGTGAGTGTCCCTCAGCGTGACATGCTGAGAGCAGAGTTCTGATGGTGTCCCTCCCTGCTCAGCTCCTTCCTTAGCCTCCAGGATGAGGTCCAGACCCCTTAGCAGGTATTCGGCTCCAAACCTCCAGGACCAGGTTTTGGCCTTTCCTTACCCACACGCCTCCCTGTGCCAGCACTGCCTCTGGGCAGAGGCGCTGCTGCATCTCCGATCTCTGAAAGCCCTGCGCCCACTTCCCTGGGCACTGTCTGTCATCCAGGAGGACACCCTACCCTCGGCGGAGACCGCACTCATCTTACACCGCAAGGGTTTTGACTGCGGCCTGGAGGCCAAGAACTTGGGCTTCAACTGCACCACAAGCCAAGGCAAGGTGAGTAGGGTGGGGAAACAGAGCACCTAGGAATGGCAGGCATGAGCTTGGTAAGACTGGGCTGAGATTCGGTGACAGGCTGGGAGAAGAAAGTGTCACTCCAGGGCTTTCTGGAGAGAAGGGGGGAAGCTGTAGACATGTTTTCAGAGCTCCGGAGGCCTGGCAGGGGGAGTTCCAGACAAGGTAGATCGCTTGAGAACTTTTGTTCCCTGAGCAGGGACCTCTATCAAGCAAAGTGGAAAACACCAGAAATAGAAAACCAGAACCCATCCTGTTGTTACTTTGTAAGCTCATATCAGCCGGCACTGATAAATGTCCCCGGGTGCCAGGTCCTCTGCTGGGCTCCAGTGTTTCAGAAGTGAACCAAGACATGGTCACTGTTTTCACAGAGCTCACAGCTCAGTGGAACGGTTCTTACCCAGAGATCTGTAGGCAGGCTTTAGGGTTGAGCAAATCTCAGCAAGCCCGTGAGACTGGATGCACACTCATGTGTAAGAAGGCATGGTGTTGCTGAGAGGGGCCAGCCGGAACTGGAGTGCAGTGGCGTGATCGCAGCTCACTGCAACCCCCGCCTCCTGGTTCAAGTGATCCTCCTGCCTCAGCCTCCCGAGTAGCTGGGATTACAGGCGCCTGCCCCCACGCCCAGCTAATTTTTATATTGTTAGTAGAGACGGGGTTTCGCCATGTTGGCCAGGCTGGTCTCGAACTCCTGACCTCAGGTGATCCACCCGCCTTGGCCTCCCAAAGTGCTGGGATTACAGGTGTGAGCCACTGCCCCTGGCTGAGATTCTTAAAGAGGTACCAAATTGTAGATGAACAGCCACATTCTTTAGTGTCTCGGCACCTAGCACAACCCTGCCCCTTCTCTGCTCTCCACAGGTAGCCCTGGGCAGCCTTTTCCATGGCCTGGATGTGGTATTCCTTCAGCCAACCTCCTTGACGTTACTGTACCCTCTGGCCTCCCCGTCCAACAGCACTGACGTCTATTTGGAGCCCATGGAGATTGCTACCTTTCGCCTCCGCTTGGGTTAGGGCTTCTTGTGGCCTGAAGAGAAAGTTCATTCACAGAGACTGCCTCTTAACATGAAGATCATTGGACAAGCCACACGGGTATCCCATCCCGATCTGCCTCCCAGAACTGTGACACACTGGGCTCTGCCCTCATTTTCTGTTTATTGCTGCTGCTGTGTTTTCGGCGCAACCCACAAACCCAGTGATGGGTAAATAGGGCAGACGCCAGTGAGATCAGGGAGAGAAGGCCCTTGGTCAGAGTGGGCAGTGCCAGGCTCTGCTTTGGGTTGTGAGTGGACACCCAACTGGGCACAGGCTCAGGCACCCATCCTTTTTCCAAACAGGGATATAGAAGTGGTGGAAGCAGACAGAAGAGGTAAGGGAGGCTAAGTGGGTAACAGCCCAGCATCAGGGTCACTGTGGCAACAGCAGGCTCTAGGGGAATCCTGTGGTTATGTAGAGACTCCATGTCCTGGTGTGATGAGCAGGATCAGAGTGACTCTGGGAGGACAGGGGTGGGGACCCAGAGTTAGCAGTGGGGATGGAGCAGTAGAAGGAATCACTGTTTCTCCTAGGAGTCTGAAGGCCTCGCTGCTTTCTGTGATGGCTTTGCAGTAAGTGCCGCCTGGCCTGCATGCATTGGCTAACAGGCTGCAGAATGGCAGGAAGGACTCGCTAGAGATTGTCATGGCCAGAGATCATAGGTCACTTCAGGTAGCAAGACCCCTGGCAAACTGGGCACTTGGCCTATGTACTGATTTGTGGGATGGTGGCAGGGGTGTGGGGTCCTTCACCCTGCCTGAATTCTCTTTGGCTTCTGTGCTCTGTATGCTGCTGTCCCCAAGGGCTCTTTCTTATTATGGCAGGGAGTGGGGATTGGTCCTACTTTCTTTCTCTGGAAAGGAAAGCCTCCAAGACTCCATGTGCTTGGGCAGCTTGAGAAGGCGTTCAGCACCACGCCTAGCAGGCAGACCTTGAAGCCTCACCTTTAGTCTATCTGCAGAGGTATTCAGTTCCTGGCACAGGGGACTAGGGGCATGTAGAGTATATGAGGAGGCAGTATGGCTGTGCAGGAGCCTTCATTTCAGCTTCAATTAATAGGGAAGAATTTATGATAGCTCTATAGATGCTGAAAAGGTATTTCGTAAGATTTAAAATCCATCCCTTATTAAAACTCTTAGTAAATTAAGTCTGGAAAGAAACACCCTAATCTAGATAAAGGTCTGTTTCAGAAACCAACAGTGATGGCATTCTAAAGAGTCAGACGCCACAGGCATTCCCATTAAAGTCAGAAACTAGCCAAGGGCAAGCTATTATTCAGCAGTGTCCCGGCACTACTAACCCCTGCAACAAGCCAGATGAGGAACATAAGGAAGAATTATAATTGTCATTATTTGTAGACAATAAAACTGCCTACCTGTAAAACCTAAGAATCAACTGAAGACCTGTTAAGAGTATTCTGTAAGTCAACCCAATGATACACATCATGTTCCTGTCCACATACTGGTTTTCCCCAAATCAGCTGATAAATTCAGTGTAATTCCAATGAGATTGAAACTTTGGAATTGACAGTTCTAAAGTGCATTTGGGAGAGTGAATGTGTGAGAACACTAAGACCACTCTGAACGATGATAATGAGTTGGGGGGTGGACTGCTCGGGGGTGATCCTGCCAGATTCCCAGAGGATTCTCACGCCACCATTACCTCACTCAGTGTGACCTGGAGGGGGTCAGACAGACGGGAGAGTCCAGAAACAGACCCAGGGCTACAGGAATTTAGTATATGGTAAGAGGGATGTTTTAAGTGGGGAAAAAGGTGGATTATTTAATAAACAGCACTTTTAGACAACTAGCTATCAAAGCTAGATCTCAGCTGGGTGCGATGGCTCACGCCTGTAATCCCGGCACTTTGGGAGGCCAAGGTGGGTGGATCACTTGAGGTCAGGAGTTCGAGACCAGCCTGGCCAAGATGGCGAAACCCTGTGTCTACTAAAAATACAAAAACTAGCCAGGAATGGTGGCGCGCGCCTGTAATCCCAGTTACTTAGGAGGCTGAGGCAGGAGAATCACATCAACCTGGGAGGCGGAGGTTGCAGTGAGCTTAGATCATGCCACCATGCCACTGCACTCCAGCCTGGGTGACACAGCCAAAAAAAAAACCACTAAGTTAGATCTCTACCTCACAGTGTCCATACAAATTAGTTCCAGAGGGAAGATATACCACAAAATTACTCAAAAATTTTTATACCTCTGGTGTGGGACGGTCTTTTCTAAACTTTAACATGAGACTTAAAAGATATAATAAGGGAAAAGATAAGCAGATTTCGCAACCAAAAAATATCGAAAGTCTCTGTGTGATGGAAAACATCAAGGTTAAAACACAAATGACAGATATGGAAGAAAATATTTGCAGCACATAAAAAAATCAACGAGTACAATTACTTTAGGAGAAAAGCTTGCTTCAGGGTCCTTAGAGAAAGTCACTGGGGCCTGCCAAGCTGCCACCTAAAGACAAGAGTGAGAGGGCTGAGTTCTTCCAGGTCATCAGAGTTGTTGCTGCCCGTATTAGGCCACACAGTGGAACCCCATTTATATCATAGCAGAAGAAATAGGATTATCAATGTGAACTGCTTAGCATGGTGCCTGGTATATACGAGAGCTCCACAAATGTGAGCTATAATCCTACTAGTAAAGGATGCTAAGCAGTTCCACTGTGGCAGGTGTCATTTGCTAGTAGAATTTGTAATCAAACAATAGGAGGGGAATCTGTGAACGCCTAGAAAATGAGCAGAATAAAGGATATTATCTTTGGAAGTCTTAGATGTGCAATGAAATTATTTGTCTGACAGAAACGAATGCTGAATTCTATTTACTTAAGCCTTTAAAATGACTTAAGGCAGTCCGGGCACGGTGGCTCATGACTGTAATCCCAGCACCTTGGGAGGCCAAGGTGGGTGGACCACCTGAGCTCAGGAGTTGGAGACCAGCCTGGACAACATGGCGAAACCCCATCTCTACCAAAAAAATACAAAAATGAGCCGGGCGTGGTGGTGTGTGCCTGTAATCCCAGCTACTCGGTAGGCTGAGGCAGGAGAATCACTTGAACCTAGGAGGCAGAGGTTGCTGTGAGCCAAGATTGCGCCATTGTACTCCAGCCTGGGTGACAGAGCGAGACTCTGTCTCAAAAACAAAAAAACAAAAAAAAAAAACATAAAATGACTTAAGGCAGCATGGCTCAAGGTGTGATTCAGAATCACCAGAACTGCCATTGAAAGTACAGGTTTCTGTTCTGACTAGGGCTTCTTCAGCCTGGAGGCTGCAGTGCAGATGCGTAGGGCAGAGCCACAGCTGCCCTGAGACTGCTGTGTCATAGGAGATAGGAGCAAGAAACAAAAGCTGACTTCAGTGCACAGGGGGATAAAGGCAGATTCCTGGGTACAACCTTTGAACTGGTTTCTGGGAGTAGAGGCCAAATAATTTGCATTTTTAACAAGCTCCCAGGTGATTCTTGTGCATGCATAATTTGGAAATGGCCCAACTTTTAAAGCAAGCAGCAACCCTTTACCACAGAGCTGTGGTACTGAGGCCTCACGGTTTGTTTGTTTGTTTTTTTTTTTTTTGAGACAGAGTCTTGCCTTGTTGCCCAGGATAGAGTGCAGTGGCACAATCTCGGCTCACTGCAACCTCCGCCTCCTGGGTTCAAGCAATTCTCATGCCTCAGCCTCCCAAGTAGCTGGGACTATAGGCGTGCACCACCATGCCTGGCTAATTTTTGTATTTTTAGTAGAGACAGGTTTTCACCATGTTGGCCAGACTGGTCTTGAACTCCTGACCTCAAGTGATCCGCCTGTCTCGGCCTCCCAAAGTGCTGGGATTACAGGCGTGAGCCACTGCGCCCGGCCAGCCTCACAGTTCTGAGGGTTACCATCAAAATGAACCAGGACATGACAGAAGCCATTTCAACCACTGGAGACGGATCGGATTCTATTCCTACATTTACTTGGAACCATCCAGCTTTCATGAAGAAGGAAGGGCTGTATGGCCAGTTGGAACCACAGAGAGAAAGGCTCCAGTTGAACCACTTAAGAGCTGGTCCTCCCATGCAGGGCGAGCCAGCCCAGACAGTGTCCTCATATGGCTTGCCTCAGGGTAGGTAAAACATAAAACCTCGACCACTTGTGCAGAGAGAGCAGCATCTTTAATTTGACCTGAACCTGACTTGCTTACCTTGCTCTGTCACTGGGGCATCTGTGCACTCACGGAGGGGGAAAATCAGTCTAGGATGGTGGGAATGAGGCTTACCATCCACAATAGAGATCTCTGAACAAAATCTTTGTTCTTCCCTAACAAAAAAGTGTGTGAAGGACAAACACTTCAAGGGCTCATTCTCATTCTCATTCTCATAGTGAGAAGAGATAAGACAGAGACCAGATCCTTCGCAACAACCCTCAATTTTACTTAGGGTCAGTGAGAAATCAATTCAGATGGTAACAGTACCCAGGACCAGCTGGGTCTGCAGTTGGCTCCTGACTCCTGACATTCTGGCTCCTGACTTTGGACCTCCCTAGTTGAGAATAAACCTGAACTAAAAATCCATGTAGTTAGGTAGTCTGGGCACAGGAAACCAAAGTGGGGTTGGAGATGCGGACTCTGTCATTCTGAATGTGACAGAGTTGAAGATTTGAGACACAGCATTGAGTGTGGAGACCTAGAGAAGGCCCCTCAGTGGAGTAGGAAGGACTGGGGTTTCCCAGTCAGCATGCCTCCCGCAAGTTTGAATATTTGTGTCCCTCTCAAATTCATACTGAAACTTAACCTCCAATGCAGCATATTAAGAGGTGGGGCCTTTAGAAGGTGATTAGGTCATGAGAGCTTCTCCCTCGTGAATAGGATTAAGGCCCTAATGAAAGAGGCTTCACACAGCCTGCCTTTTTTACTGTGTGAGGATGCAGTGACCACCTTGGAAGCAAAAAGCAGCCCTCGCTAGACACCGAACCTGCCAGCACCTTCATCTTGGACTTCCTGCTTCTAGAACTGTGAGAAAACGAATTTCTGTTCTTTATAAATTACCCAGTCTCAGGTATTTTTGTCATAACAGCACAGACTAACATACCTAGAGACTTGCATTCCAACTAGAGGCGCAAGCACACCTATAATTCTGCCCTCTCAACTCCTAATGCCAGAGATTGCTAAATAAATACTAAAAATGTAAAAACAGGCCGGGCACAGCCCAGCACTTTGGGAGGCCGAGGCAGGCAGATCACCTGAGGTCAGGAGTTCCAGACCAGCCAGACCACCATGGCGAAACCCCATCTCTACTAAAAAATACAAAAATTAGCCGGGTGTGGTGGTGGGCGCCTGTAATCCCAGCTACTTGGGAGGCTGAGGCACGAGAATCACTTGAACCCAGGAGGCAGAGGTTGCAGTGAGCTGAGATCTTGCCATTGCACTCCAGCCTGGGCAACAGAGCAAGACTCCATCTCAAAAAAAAAAAAAAAAAAAAAAAAAAGAAAGCAAAAACTGTCAAACTCAAAATAAAGGAAATCTTCTTTGACAAAGAATGGAGAGAATAATACAGCCATTAGCAGAGGCTGAGGCTATACAGCTTGAGAGAAGTAGAGACTAGTTCAGGATGGTAGGTGCTGGGACTTCAAAGTCCACGTGGGACAGGTAACCAAGTGTAACCTAGGAACGTCAAGGGACCAGAACCAGACTCTGAGAGGTACACAGGCAGGAAAAATGTAAGTTGCAAACAAAAACAGGATGACATGCAAGCAATCTAAAAAAATACTTTAAAAAATATATATGTGCAATCACCAAAGAGCTAAAGATATTCAGTCTTGCAATGAGAAACTGACTGAAAAGAAGCAAATAAGATTTTACAAATTATACATGCTGGAAATGTAAAAATACAATTATTGAAATATACTCTATGTATGGTATAAGCCCTAGACTGGAGGCAGATGACATAAAAATTTAGCAGGTCTGGAAAACAACTGAGGAATCACCCAGAATGCACCACAGTGATAAAAGAAATATAAAAAAGAAGCTAAGACAGATGGAGGATAGACTGAGAAGCTTTGGCATAATGTTTCATAGCAGTTTTAGAAAAAAAGACTAGTGAGAATACAGGGATGAGAAAACAAAGACGGTGAATTTTTCAGAACTGAAGAAAGATGTGAGATCTCAGAATCAAAGAGCTCATTAAGTTCCAAGAAAGGTACATTTAAAAAAAAAGGCCAGGCCGGGTGCGGTGGCTCATGCCTGTAATCCCAGCACTTTGGGAGGCCGAGGCGGGTGGAACATGAGGTCAGGAGATCGAGACCATCCTGGCTAACATGGTGAGATCCCGTCACTACTAAAAAAATACAAAAAAATTAGCTGGGCCAGGTGGCAGGCGCCTGTAGTCCCAGCTACTCAGGAGGCTGAGGCAGGAGAATGGCGAGAACCCAGGAGGCAGAGGTTGCAGTGAGCCGAGATCGCACCACTGCACTCCAGCCTGGGTGACAGAGCAAGACTCCATCTCAAAAAAAATAGATAGCTGGGCGCGGTGGCTCACCCCTGTAATCCCAGCACTTTGGGAGGCCGAGGCGGGCGGATCATGGGGTCAGGAGATCGAGACCATCCTGGCTAACATGGTGAAACCTTGTCTCTACTAAAAGTACAAAAAATTAGCCGGGCATGGTGGCGGGCGCCTGTAGTCTCAGCTACTTGGGAGGCTGAGGCAGGAGAATGGCATGAACCCGGAGGCAGAGGTTTTAGTGAGCCGAGATCGCGCCACTGCACTCCAGCCTGGGCGACAGAGTGAGACTCCGTCTCAAAACAACAACAACAACAACAAACAAACAAATAAATAAATAAACAGGCCAGGTGCAGTGGCTCATGTCTATAATCCCAGTACTTTGGGAGGCCAACGTGGGCAGATCACTTGAGGTCAGGAGTTTGAGACTAGCCTGGCCAACGTGGTGAAACCCTGTCTCTACTAAAAATACAAAAAAACCCAAAAACCAGAAAAATCAAAATGTAGCGGGGCATGCTGGTGTGTGCCTATAGCCTGTAATCCCAGCTACTTGGAAGGCTGAGGCAGAAGAATCGCTTGAACCTGGGAGATGGAGGTTGCAAATAGCCAAGATCATGCCACTGCACTTCATCCTGAGCGACAGAGCACGACTCCGTCTCAAAAAAATTAAAACAATTTAAAAAACCTCGTGTAGATATATTGCAAATTACGTAAGATAAAACCTAAAGGCCAGGCACGGTGGCTCACGCCTGTAATTCCAGCACTTTGGGAGGCCAAGGTGGGTGGATCACCTGAGGTCAGGAGTTTGAGATCGGCCTGGCCCACATGGCAAAACCCTGTCTGTACTAAAAATACAAAAATTAGCTGGGCTGGTGGCATGCGCCTGTAGTCAAAGCTACTCAGGAGGCTGAGGCAGAAGAATAGCTTAAACCAGGGAGGTGGAGGTTGCAGTTAGCTGAGATCATGCCACTGCACTCCAGCCTTGGCAATAGAGTGAGTGGGATTCACTCTCAAAAGAGAAAGGCAAATATAAGAACTTATTGAGAAACTGCAGGAATGAATATAACCTGTTGTACAACCATGGTTTAACTGTAGATTTTTAGCCTAGCTTTTTTTTTTTTTTTTTTTTTTTTGAGACGGAGTCTAGCTCTGTCGCCCAAGCTGGAGTGCAGTGGCGTGATCTCGGCTCACTGCAACCTCTGCCTCCCAGGTTCAAGTGATTCTCCTGCCTCAGCCTCCCAAGTAGCTGGGACTAAAGGCGCCCGCCACCACGCCTGGCTAATTTTTTGTAGTTTTAGTAGAGACAGGGTTTCACCGTGTTAGCCAGGATGGTCTTGATCTCCTGACCTCATGATCCACCCGCCTCGGCCTCCCAAAGTGTTGGGATTACAGGCGTGAGCCACCACACTGGCCTTTTTTTTTTTTTTTTTTTTTGAGACGGAGTCTTGCTCTGTCTCCCAGGCTGGAGTGCAGTGGCATGACCTTGGCTCACTGCAACCTCCGCCTCCTGGGTTCAAGTGATTCTCCTGCCTCAGCCTCCCGAGTAGCTGGGACTACAGGTGCCCGCCACCATGCCCGGCTAATTTTTTTGTATTTTTAGTAGAGACGGGGTTTCACCATGTTAGCCAGGATGGTCTCGATCTCCTGACTTCGTGATCCACCCGCCTGGGCCTCCCAAATTGCTGGGATTACAGGCGTGAGCCTCTGCACCCAGCCTGCCTAGTGTGTTTCTTTGGAACTTATCAAAATGTCTCTGGAGGCCGGGCACGATGGCTTCATGCCTGTAATCCCAGCACTTTGGGAGGCCAAGGCAGGCGGATAACTTGAGGTCAGGAGTTTGAGACCAGCCTGGCCAGCATGGTGAAACCCTGTCTCTACTAGAAATACAAAAATTAGCCGGGCGTGGTGGCACACATCTGTAATCCCAGCTACTAGGGAGGCTGTGGCATAAGAATCGCTTGAACCCAGGAGGCAGAGGTTGCAGTGAGCCGAGATTGCGCCACTGTACTCCAGCCTGGGTGACAGAGCGAGAATCCATCTTAAAAAAAAAAAAAGGCTCTGGAACATTTCATTTCCTGTTTTGTTACTGACCTGTGACTCTGTAAAAGTCTACTTTCGCAATTTGGATTAATAATTTTATGAATGCAAATTGGAGATGCTGTTCAAAAAAAAAAAAATAGAAAAGTCTTACAAAGGAAAGACAATCACAGTGATAGCAGACATCTAGTTAGCTACAGTAGACACCTGGAGTCCATTCAAACCTAGAGAAAACTCAGCCTTGAATTTGCTATCAGCTACACCATTCAAGAGCACGGGGGAAATGAAGACATTTTCAGACATGCAAAGACTCAACAGTTTGCAATGTACAAAACTTTAGTGGAAGAAAGTAGGTGTACTTAAGCAAAAAGAGAATTTGTCTAGGGGCATAAACTAATGAGAGGGAGGGTACACCTAAATACTGGCTATAAATGTAATACTAGTTTATAGTTTAAAAAGAGGCAGGAACTAAAATTCTAGAAAGCAATATTGTGAAGAGTTATTCAAGGCTGGGCACAGTGGCTCACGCCTGTAATCCCAGCACTTTGGGAGGCTGAGGTGGGCAGATCACCTGAGGTCAGGAGTTCGAGACCAGTGTGGCCAACTTAGTGGAACGCCATCTCTACTAAAAAATAAAAAATAAAAAAATCCAAAAACAGGTACTAAGAGGACAGACCTTGCATCAAATGGTGCTAGGAAAACTGGACATCCACAAGCAAAACCATACATCATATATTTTGTATATGGTGTATATACAAAAAAATTACACCATATACAAAAATTAACCCAAAATGTTCTTGCCACAAAAACAACAAAAAATTGGGTAACTACGTGAAATGATGGATGTGTTAATTTGCTTCACTATAGTAACCTTTTTACTACCTGTATGTAGCCTCATAACATCATGTATACCTTATACCAAATTAAATTGATTTAAAAAGAAATTTAACCCAAAATGGATCAAAAACTTTACTTGTAAGAGCTAAAACGATAACTTTGGGAGGCCAAGGCGGGTGGATCACCTGAAGTCAGGAGTTAAAGACCAGCCTGGGCAGCAAGGATAAATCCCGTCACTACTAAAAATACAACAATTAGCCATGCGTGGTGGCGCACGCCTGTTATCCCAGCTACTCGGGAGACTGAGGCAGGAGAATAGCTTGAACCCGGGAAGCGGAGGTTATGGTGAGCAGAGATGGCACCATTGCACTCCAGCCTGGGCAACAAGAGTGAAACTCCGTCTCAAAAAAAAAAGCTAAAACGAAAGCTCCTAGAAGAAAACAGGAAAAGCTTCATGGCATTAGATTTGGCAACGATTTCTTAGATATGACACTAAAAACACAGGCAACAAAATATATAAAGTGGACTACAACAAAGTCATCTTTTCTTAAAAAAATCTCGTTATCTTACTCCCGCAAAACTATTTAAAAAAATTAAGTTCAAAGTTCTCCAAAATGTACCATACCCTGGGGATTACTCTGAACTTTGTTCATTTGTTTTCTTTTAATTCGGCTTTTTTGGTTGCCTTTCACCTACTTTTTCGCAGAGCCCTCCGCTGGGGCCTTCACTTGGGCAAACAACTATCGTAGTCGAACAGCTTTGACCTAACAATTTCCTCGTACCCAAGATGATCGCTTTTCCAGACAACTTAATAAACTTTGGCTTTAATGGATGACTGGATGCAGAATAAAATACATAAAAATAAACCTCAGCTGCTCAGCAACGACTGAAAAACCACCACCGGGCAATCCCTCCCCATGGCCACCGAGCAAAGTTCCACCGCCTCCCCTACGCCGACCGCCGGGCTCCCGGGGTCGGACAGCCCCGGGCCACTTCCGGGCCTTCCCGGAAGTCCCTGTCACTTAACAACCGAAGTAACCCGCAATGCGGAAGGGCGAGGGGATTGCGAGTCACCGAGTTTCCCGCGCGGCTTGAGGTACTGGGGAACCGGAATCCCCCACCGGCCCAATCATGTTGCTGCTGGGGTCTCTCCGGTGCCCAGCAGTGGTTGTCAGTAAGCGGGCGGCACTCCCTTCCGATACGTCTTTTCTTTTTTCATTTTTGAGACGGAGTCTCGCTGTGTCACCCAAGCTGGAGTGCAGTGGCGCGATCTCGGCTCAGTACAAACTCCGCCTCCCGGGTTCAAGCGAGTCTCCTGCCTCAGCCTCCTGAGTAGCTGGGATTACAGGCGCGAGCCACTGCGCCCGGCTAATTTTTTTTTGTATTTTTAGTAGAGACGGGGCCTCGCCATGCTGGCCAGGCTGGTCTTGAACTCCTGACCTCAAGTGATCCGCCCGCCTCGGTCTCCCAGAGTGCTGGGATTACAGGCGAGAGACACCGCGCCTGGCCCCCTTCCAACTTTCTTAACGGGAAAGGCTGCTACCATTTCTTGAGCACCTATGTGTCAGGCTCCATCAGGCACGTCACAGTCTAACCTGATAATTACACAACCCATGTCACTGACAAGGAAGCCAGGTTCGGAGGGGTTGAGGCCCGCAACCTGAGGGAGGTGACTCCGGGACACACAATTAGTCCTGCTTTGCTGAAGGAAAGATATGCAGCCCACCAGTCGGAGGCTGGAGAAGGAGCAGCAGCAGCTTAAACCTTAACCCAGAGTTATTTTTATTTTCCAGAACGTGTTAGGAACTAGTACTTAAATAATCTCAAGTCCCTGAGGGGCCAGAGATCCCACCATGCAAAATAGCAAACAGACCCAAGACTTGGGGAGAGGCGGTGAGTGCATCAGAAATGGATGGGTACATCTGATTCCCACCACGCGGGGCTCAGCTTAGTTAGCAGGAGACCTTCAGACTGAGAAAAAATGCAAGTCTTTTTTTGGCCTCTAATATCTGGGAAGGATGGAGGGAGCTCAGGAGACACAGAAAAGATGGCGTATGAATCCTGTCCGGCCTGAACGAGGCTGGAGTTGTGCCTCTGGATAGCTTCAAGCACTGATCAGATTGTCAGCCCCCGCTGCTTGAACAGATGCTTTAGAGCCTCTTCCAGTTGCCGGTTTGTTCCCTGAAGCCCCTTCACCACCTGCGCTGCCCACTCGAAGTATTCCTGGACTCGATGTTCTGACCATCCTGCATAAGAGTCGACAGAAACTTGCTAGCGTGATGTCAAGGAAAGCACTGCCTTTTCCCCACTTCCTGGCAAGCTTGGTTCAAGGCCATGAGTTCCTGATGGAATGAGCTGTCCTGAAAACTTCCCCTTGGCCCAGCTATTGTATTTTTACTGTATGAAAGAAGATCAAAGAGTGGTCCAGTAGGATTAATTTGGGAATTAAGAATGCCCAGGGTTTTTCAGGGGAACTGACCAACATGTGTCTTCAGAAGGCGGCATCCCCCTCCCTTTTCCCTTACAGCCCATACGAAAGCGTACCCTCTGGGGTGCAGCGATTCAGGTCCCTCAGATTGTACAGCTTGTCTGCCAGCTTCACCAGTTTGGCCCCGGGGCTACTGTGGGGCGCTTGCTCCACCTGCAGCCTCTTTCTCTCCAGCTTGGGCAGAGTCTTGTCATCTGTTACCTCCTCCACCAGGCGCCGCACTTGTGCCCCAAAGTGTAGCTCCACCTCATCCAGGGTGGTGTCTGTGTCCTCCACCGTGTCATGGAGCAGGGCCGCCTGGGGACAAGTTCCCACTCAGCCCTGAGATGTCAGCCAAGGGTTGCCCATTGCTGAATGGGGCCCCTAATCCCCATCCCAGGCTCCTGGCAGAGAAGGGGGAAAGTTACCTGTAACACCACAATGTCAGTGATTCCCGCCTCGTGGGTCAGGATCCGTGCCACACCTGACGGGGAGGGGCAAAGCAGGAAGTCAGGTCGGAGGTAGTCCCAAGGCGGTGTGTTGTGGGTTTTGGAGAGCCAGATGTGGCCCCTTGTGGACTCTGACTAGCTGGGTGACCTTGGTCAAGTACCTTACCCTCTGGGAGCCAACCGACAAAGGGAACGATCATGCCTACCGTTCCAATTGTTATGAGGCTTAAACGGTATATCGCACTAAGCTTGGGACAAAACAGGTGCTCAATGAGGTGCACGCCCCCCACGTTTCCTTCCCAGTCCCCACCACCCAGGTGCCGCAGCCGGCGCTCCGCGGCCGACGCGCCCACCGATGGGGTGGTTGATGTAGGGGGTCCCCTCGGGGTCCTTCCGCCGCTGCTGCCGGTGCTTGCGAGCCGCGAAGTCGGCAGCCTCCAGCAGCTGCGCCGCCTCAGAGCCCATCGCGCGGATGGGGCCGACGACTGCGGCCGCAGGGGCAGGGACGGAACGTTTACAGCGCCCCCTGGCGCCGGGGAGGCCCGGGGATCGTGGAGGCTAATTCAGCGGGCCGAGTTGGGCCTGCCCCAGATGAATTCCTCTGGAGCTGACCGGCCCGCGCAGAGAGCAAGTGATGTGGACAGCTGCCTTCAGCATCGCAGCCCCCAGCTCAGTGTGCTCTGTTGGGGGTGCAAGAAGAACATAAGCCTGGCTCTTTGGGAGCCCACAGTCTGTGGAAAAGAGGAAGACAGACAAGAAATAAGGCAGTGGCCTCACAGTGCTCTGAATCCAGGGTGGCCAAGGCTCAGGGGACTATGGGAGCGGGAAGAAAGAACAATCCCCACACCCTCAGAGTCAGAGACAGCTTCTCCCAGAAGCTCCCCCCAAGAACCATCTTCAACCTGTAAAAGCTCTGAAAATTCTCCAAGTGTTCTAAAAATAGTTCTCCCTGTAGGGATGGGCCAGGTTCTGTGGGCAGGGGAGTCTACCTTTGGACCCTCCAGGAGACCCTAGGGCCTGACCTGAAAAATCAGAGCCTTCCCTGGGAGCCCTGCCTAATTGCTTCAGACTTAGGCTCCCAGGTAGCTGTGACGTTTCTGCAGGAACTGCCTTTGTTTGTCCTCAGTGTTGCAGATGAAATTTGCCTTGTCTTCTTATGCTATGAGAGCTCCTATTTCAGTCTCTAGGCATCTTCTGTGGGCCCCTGGGGTGATGAGTGTTGTCACTGCTGTCCTGGGAGCATGATGTTGTCAGGCCTGGGTAGGCACTGGAATAACACTTAATTCTGCTGGCTGGTGGCCTTCTGGAGAAATTCCCTGCCTTAGGGGCAGCTGAGGGGTAAGAGAGACCTGGTGATCCCCATAGAACTTCTCTGTGAGAGGGGGTTCCCTATTAGCTAAGTATACTCTAATCAGACATGTAGCTTTTGTGTTCTGGCTGGTAGCTGGGGCAGATAAGGCTCAGGGGAAAGGCTAATGAAAGGAGTCACCCTTGGTTTTCAGCTAGTCTTGGTGGTTGCCACGTAGCAGAGGTTAGGGAGGGAAGCCCCACATGCTGGAACTGAGGTCTCTGGGACCTGAAATAGGAGGGTCAGAATTCCCAGAGCTTCCATGGCAGCCTGGAAGTTGGAGAATGGGTAGAAACATATTTGGCTGTAAATGCTTGTTTGTTCTTCATACTAATGGCTCAGCTGCTCTCTCATCCCTCATTCTGTCCTCTAGTCCTTTGAGCCTTCTCTCCTTCAGCAGTTTGGCAATGCAGGCCCCACGTTTTCCAACAGGAGACAGAAACCCAGTCCCTGTCATCTCTCTCTAAAAGCCTGTGATAGAGAAGCTTCAGGCTCGTATTAATGGTGCCCAAGGGCCTTGGGGCTTTGACTTTTATTTCCTTATTGTCTGCAGTCACGGCCTAGAAAGAGAGATGTTGGGGTTCCCAGGACCAGGACAGAGGTGGTAGTGAACTCTCATGGGCATCCAGAGAAGGTCAGGCCCCTTGCTGACAGGCCTATCTGTGGGGCTACTGCTGCTCTTCAGCTGGGTGACCCTTGTCCAGCCAACCTCTCTCTCAGGTACAGCACTTACCCCTGTGGCCCACCTGCCTCTGGTGCTATGGGCTATTCCTGGGAACTGGAACTGATGGGGATGGGTGGAAGGGCATCTTTTCTTCTGGTAGGGGCTGATCTCTTTTACTCTCCAGTAGGGGTGGAGTGAGCTGTGGAAAGGCCCCTCCTGCTTGTCTCTAGCACCCCCACCTCTCTCTTCAGCTCTGGTCCACCACCCTCACTTGTGCCAGACCACCCGGGATGTCCATGGCCGTCACTACCCTGGTTTCTTTTGCCCTCGTCTGTCTGATTCTCCAGAGGAAGCCTACTGCTGCCACCTGCAGGCTGCAGGGGGCTCCTGCTGCACCCGGGCTGAATTTGAGGCCCTGTACCAAGTCAATCTGTCCGCTCTTCCGCCCCCGCCCATCCTCAGGTGAGATCTCCAACCCCAGAGCCACTGGAACATCGACAGGGTGTTCCAGTATCTGGGGCTCTGTTCCTAAATTATGGGGTGGTAGGCTTGTAACTTACAGACTAGTGAAGGGACAGACCGCAACAGAAAATCATGTAGATCATGATTACAATTACAAAGGAGAAGTTCAGGGGGCTGTGCAAGCTGGTAATGGGGAGCCATCCTGAATCTGCCCATGGGTGGCTCTAGGATGAGCTCCTAAATTCGTATGCAAATGTGTGTATGTAAGACGACACTTATTTGGGGAGGGAGTCCTGAGCTTTCTCCGGACTCCCAGGGATTCTGTACCCCCCACAGAGCGCAGCAGCGAGAGCGCGGTCGGGGCCGGGATCCAGATACTTTTTCTCTCCCGCAGGGGCCCAGGCCCGCTCCTAGTGCTGGGCCTCTACAACCTACTGGTTGTGACCCTGATGACCGTAGACCTCGTGCACTTCTGCTGCGGTCGGGGCCGGAGTCTGGGCTGGAGCCACCGCAGGCCTCCCTCTGGGTCCTCCGCCGCGAGCTCCCTGCAGGTCTCTGCGGGGACAGCTTAGGTGCGCCCGGAGCTTGCCTGCACCTGCGATCCAGAGCCAAGCGCCCCGCCCCTGCCCGGGCGCGCTCCCTCCTTAGCCCTGCCCCTCTCTGACCCCACCTCCGACGCAAGAGTGGGGCGGGGCAGCTGCCGGTGGCGTCCCGAACCCAGACTCGCCCCGCCCCAGAGACTGCGCCTGCGCGGGCACGAGACAACCTCTCCGCGATGACTGTGAGTGGTCCAGGGACCCCCGAGCCCCGGCCGGCCACCCCCGGGGTGCGTACCCAACCCCCGCGCCATCACCCCTTCGCACCCGCCCTGACCATCCCTGGCCTCCTTCTCCCCATCCATGAGGCTCGCCCCGATCCCTCCTCTCCTCTCCCCTTAGCTCCCGGGCTCTGCCCCGAACCCCCTCCGACGTTTCCGCCCCCTTTCTCTCTACAGGCCAGCTCAGTGGAGCAGCTGCGGAAGGAGGGCAATGAGCTGTTCAAATGTGGAGACTACGGGGGCGCCCTGGCGGCCTACACTCAGGCCCTGGGTCTGGACGCGACGCCCCAGGACCAGGCCGTTCTGCACCGGAACCGGGCCGCCTGCCACCTCAAGCTGGTGAGGGAGCCTGGCGCTCTTCCCCTCGCCCGCCCGGGCCCCGGTTCGCCCATCTAAGCTGATGCTTGGGCCCCAGCTGGACATTCACGCTCCCAGGCCATCCCCGCTTGCCAGATGTTTTTTGCACCTCAGGGTGGTGGGGGATCGGGTGACCTTGGAGAGCGAGAGTACCCCTGCTGCCTGGTTAGTGCCCCGAGAGGGAGATGACCATTCCTTCAGGCTCCTGTCTTTCTCTTACAGGAAGATTACGACAAAGCAGAAACAGAGGCATCCAAAGGTAGGGGAATGGTGGGCCCTGGTGTGGAGCTGTAGGGCTTCTGTGGTGGGCAAGGACTCTGGGACCGCTGCACCGTCACATTCTCCTCCTTTGGCCCCAGAGACACATCTGCCTTCTTTCTTTCCCACTGCCTCGGGCCTTTCCTTTTCTGCAGCTACCCTCACCTTTTCTGAGGCTGAAGCACCGAGCCCCACATTCGTCCCCCCCACCTTCTTCTGGCCTTTCCTCGAGATCTTTCCCTACTGCTCTTGCCTGGAGACAGTGGCCTCATGGGTGCTGACAGCGCTCCTGTTTGTGCTCAGCCATTGAAAAGGATGGTGGGGATGTCAAAGCACTCTACCGGCGGAGCCAAGCCCTAGAGAAGCTGGGCCGCCTGGACCAGGCTGTCCTTGACCTGCAGAGATGTGTGAGCTTGGAGCCCAAGAACAAAGTTTTCCAGGAGGCCTTGCGGAACATCGGGGGCCAGATTCAGGAGAAGGTATGTGAGTGACCCAGAGAGGTGGAAGCATTGACTGGTGGTGAAGGGGTCTGGGCCAGGGGTGTAGACACAGTTCTCCAGACGAGATCCCGGTGGCAAGTGAACCTTGCCTGTGGCCAGGGAAAAGCAAATTAAGATGACAGCACATTACTGTTGATTTGGAGGTCTGTCTGGCAGATATTTAAAAGTTTGTACACTTTTCGAGAAGGAGAGAGGCAGACACATCAGTGGTGAGGCTGGGGGCCAAGGGCTCTCTGATGACTGCTGGAGGGGTATAAATTGGTACAGCTCTTTTCGAGAGTACTTTAGCATATCTATTCAATTTCAAATGAGCGTATCTTGTGATCCCATATGTTTACTTCTTGCTGTTTCTCTCAGAGAAACCTTGTCCACGTGCACAAGTAGACATGTGTATGTTTATTTCAGCCTTTTTTGTAGTAAGAAAAACTTGGAACTTGCCTGAATGCCCAGCCATAGAGGAATGGCTGAATAAATGGGTAATGTCCTTACTACAGACTCTTATATAGTTACTGAGAATAGGTAGATACACACATATTGAAATGGGAAGCTCTGGGACACTTGTTGAATGAACAAAGCAAAATAGGCAGGGCATGGTGGTTCATGCCTGTAATCCCAGTGCTTTTGGAGGCCAAGATGGGATGATCACTGGAGGCCAGGAGTTTGAGACCAGCCTGGGCAACATAGTGAGACCCTGTTGCTACCAAAACCTAAAAAGTTAGCTGGGTGTGGTGGCACACCCTTGTAGTCCCAGCTACCTGTGAGGCTGAGGCAGGAGAGTCCTTTGAGCCCTGGATTTTGCAGTTACAGTGAGCTATGATCGTGCCACTGCACTCCAGCCTGGCTGACAGAGTGAGGCCCTGTCTCTTTCAAAAAAGAAAAGAAGAAGAAAAATATACAATAACACATATAGTATAATATCATTTATGTTAATGATCCCCTACATAGCAAAACAATGCTATATTTTTTCTGTGGGTACACTTGGGTATGTAAATACAAAGGAAAATAATTGTTTTTTTTTTTTTTGAGACGGAGTCTTGCTCTGTCGCCCACACTGGAGTGCAGTGGTGCGAACTTGGCTCACTGCAACCTCTGCCTCCCAGGTTCAAGTGAGTCTCCTGCCTCAGTCCCCCAGGTAGCTGGGACTACAGGGGCCTGCCACCACGCCCGGCTAATTTTTTGTATTTTTAGTAGAGATGCGGTTTCACTGTGTTGGCCAGGATGGTCTGGAGCTCCTGACCTTGTGATCTGCCTGCCTCGGCCTCCCAAAGTGCTGGGATTACATGTGTGAGCCACTGCACCCAGCCGAAAATATTTTATTTTTTAAATTTATTTTTATTTTTATTTATTTATGTATTTTGAGACGGGGTCTCACTCTGTCACCCATGCTGGAGTACAACCTCTTCCTCCCGGGCTCAAGCAGTCCTCCCACTTCAGCCTCCCAAGTAGCTGGGACAAATGCATGTCACCACGCTCGCCTAATTTTTATATTTTTTGTAGAGACAGGGTTTTACTGTGTTGCCCAGGTGGCTGGTCTTGAACTCCTAGGCTCAAGGGATCTACTCACCTCAGCCTCCCAACTGGCTGGGATAACAGGCGTGAGCCATGGCACTGGGCCAAATATGCATTTTTGTTTCTTTATTTTTTCAGGAAAATATTTTAAAAGATATACATCAAAATGATAACACGGTGACCCCTGGGGAAAGGAATGGGATTGAGAGGGCTTTCCAAAGGAGACTGCATCACCTGTTCATATTTTTTTAATAAAGAGAAATTGTGTAAAATACGTATATTTTTAAATTAGGAGAAAAGAATCTAAAGACCATTATGAGCTACAACCAAGCTCAAATTCGCCAGATAATTTGACGTTAAAATGCTGACACAGTGGAAGCAGATAACATGATGGCAGACACCTCACTGAAATGTTGAAGCCTGGGAAAGCAAATAGGTTTCCTCTCTCAATGCCAACTCTGATTGGCAGTGGCTGCCCAGAGTCCTATGTTGAGAAGAATTAGGAAGCAGATTGCCTGAGCCAAGCAGGGGAACGTGCCATGACTGGTTAGTCATGGCTGCCATGGATGCAAGAGAGGAAGGCGGGTGGTCCACATGCTAGGCTTGTGCCACCATCTATGCCCAGGACTCTGGGGGGTGGGGGAGTAGGCCTAGGATGATCTTCCCCATTCAGATTATTTATTTATTTATTTATTTGTTTGTTTTGAGACAGTCTTATCCTGTCACCCAGGCTGGAGTGCAGTGGATCTCTGCTGACTGCAACCTCCACCTCCCAGATTCAAGCGATTCTCCTGCTTCAGCCTCCCGAGTAGCTGGGATTACAGGCACCCGCCACCACACCTGGCTAATTTTTATATTTTTAGTAGAGACGGGGTTTCACCATGTTGGCCAGGCTGGTCTCAAACTCCTGACCTCAGGTGATCTGCCCACCTCGGCCTCCCAAAGTGTTGGGATTACAGGCGTGAGCCACCGTGCCTGGCTTCAGATTTTATTTATTTATTTTTTTGAGACAGAGTTTCACAGTTATTGCCCAGGTTAGAGTGCAGTGGCGTGATCTCGGCTCACTGCAACTTCCGCATCTTGGGTTCAAGTGATTCTCCTGCCTCAGCCTCCCGAGTAGCTGGGATTACCGGCATCTGCCACCACGCCCGGCTAATTTTTTGTATTTTTAGTAGAGATGGGGTTTCACCTTGTTGGCCAGGCTAGTCTTGAACTCCTGACCTCAGGTGATCCACCTGCCTTGGCCTCCTAAAGTTTTGGGATTACAGGCGGGAGCCACTGCGCCCAGCTCAGATTATTTTTAAAACAGTGAAAAGAGAATTCTGGAGCTAAAGGAAGTGTTAGCAACTACCTCACGATCTGCCAGCTCCCTGGCAGGAGGTATAAATGCTGAGTTCAGTGCCATGGGAAGCCCATTCACGCTGCCACAATGTAGATGGCACCACTGGGAGTGGGTTGCCTCGTAGCTGACAGGATACCTCCCCTCCGAAAAGGCACTCCAGCATCGGCGCAGCCCCTGCTGCCCAAGCAGGAAATAGCTCAGAAAGAAAAACAGGTGCGGGAAATTTAGGAGGCACTGCCAGGCAAGTCTCTTCCTGCCCAGGGTAGCTAGGTGCTAGCCCTGAGCCTGGACATCTTTACTGTGCCTCCCAGAGTGAGGAGCTGGAGACAAATGAATAGGGAGTGTGATGTCTCTGGCCAAGAGCCGTGATTTGTTCCATGCTTTGTTGGTTTGTCTAGGTGCGATACATGTCCTCGACGGATGCCAAAGTGGAACAGATGTTTCAGATACTGTTGGACCCAGAAGAGAAGGGCACTGAGAAAAAGCAAAAGGTATAGGCCCTGGGCTGAGTCAGTGAGTGAGCTCCCACTAGAGCCACCCATCCATAGGCCCCCGAAGCCACTGCTGCCTTGCTCTGCCGCTCCTCCAATCGTGCAGCTGGGCTCACGGGGCCTGGATGGGAGCTCTGAGGGTCTGGGGCTTTAGCGTGAACCAAGGAAAGAGAACCAGTGTTCACAGAGTACCTTGTTGGCCACGCCCTGTGCCAGGAACTGGGTGTACAGAGGTAACTGAGGCACTGTCCCAGCCCCTCAGGCTCTGCTGGGGACTCATTTGCTCTAACCATCAATCCCGAGAGAAGGCTCTTCCCTCTATTTACAGAGGAAGCTAAACTTCAAAGAGGTTATTTTTTGGCCGTGGTCACTCAACTGTGAAGTGGAAGCAGAGAGGTCCAGGGCTCGGGGCCCCTGCTCACCAGTGCTGCATCCTATGCCGTGTGCAGTGTCAACATTATAATGTGCTTCCTTTGACGCAGGCTTCTCAGAACCTGGTGGTGCTGGCCAGGGAGGATGCTGGAGCGGAGAAGATCTTCCGGAGTAATGGGGTTCAGCTCTTGCAACGTTTACTGGACATGGGAGAGACTGACCTCATGCTGGCGGCTCTGCGTACGCTGGTTGGCATTTGCTCTGAGCATCAGTCACGGGTAGGTGGAGTGGAGAGGCTGGTTACAGCTTCAGTCCCTTTGTCTGTCTGTCCATCCATTCCTCCATCCACCCATCTGTCCATCCGCCCATCTGCCCGTCCATCCATCCATCCACTCTTCCACCCTCTACCCCTTACCTTATTCTAAAAAGAACTTAGGTAGGTTATGGTGCCTCACACCTGTAATCCCAGCACTTTGGGGGGCTGAGGCAGGTGGATCACTTGAGGTCAGGAGTTCAAGACCAGCCTGGCCAACAAGGCGAAACCCTGTCTCTACTAAAAATAAAAAAATTAGCCGGGCATGGTAGTGCACGCCTGTAATCCCAGCTACTCAGGAGGCTGAGGCACGAGACTTGCTTGAACCCAGGAGGTGGAGGTTGTGGTGAGCTGAGATCGCGCCACTGCACTCCAGCCTGGGTGACAGAGCGAGACTATCTCAGAAACAAAACAAAACAAAACAACAAAAAAAGAAAAGGCAGAGTACAAGGAGATACATGTAACAAGAGAGAAAAAATAAAAATGGCGTGAAAAAGACCAACATAAATTAGGATGAAGTGGGGTAGAAAGAGCAAAAACAGCCTTGGGGTACCCCAAGCACTTGCTTTGTAGGGGGCTTACAAGTGTGAGCCCCAGCTTTCCTGCAGCCAACTCACAAAAACACATTGGTCACTGACTCCTTCAATGTCCATATGGCACAAGCAAGCTCATGGCCCAGAATGTGCCTGGCCACCACAGCATCTACCATCGAGACAGTGACCGGACACGTAGGGCTTGATCCCGACATGATTCTCAGCATGGATGGTGGTGGCCCAGCATGGACAGTGCAGCAATAACAGTCCTGCTCCTGGGCCAGTGTGGTGAAGTCCATGCCCCCAGCTCTTACCTGAGCTGGCTTGCTCCAGGGGAGAGGGGACCAAAGACTAGGCCCTTGGTTGCTTTTAGAGGAGCCCACAATTCCTAGATAGGGGTGAAACTGTGAAATAGTCAATGAAATCTCTTTAGGCTAAGCTTGGGCTGCATTCTGGGTCTCCCAAGGCTAAGACTGTTAAAAGCATGTGCATTCTGTTCCCTCCTGCCTTCCGGTCCATTCCAGTTCACAGTCTTGGCCAAGGACACTTAGCTGCTAAGTGGAAGCAGTCAGGATTTGGGCTCAGTGGACCAAGCAGGCCTTCTAGGGTTCTCCAGCTTAGAAACAGGGTGGAGAGGGCCCGGCGCGGTGGCTCATGCCTGTAATCCCAGCACTTTGGAAGGCCGAGGCGGGCAGATCACGAGGTCAGGAGATTGAGACAATCCTGGCTAACACGGTGAAACCCCGTCTCTACTAAAAATACAAAAAATTAGCCGGGTGCGGTGGCGGGCGCCTGTAATCCCAGTTACTCAGGAGGCTGAGGCAGGGAAATGGCGTGAACCTGGGAGGTGGAGCTTGCAGTGAGCCCAGATCGCGCTACTGCACTCCAGCCTGGGCGACAGAGCAAGACTCCGTCTCAAAAAAAAAAAAAAAAAAGAAAAAAGAAAGAAACTGGGTGGAGAGGTCTCACGGGCCCATTCCGTGTACGTGACGTCCACATCCCCAGGGTGTGGAAAGAACCTCAGGGTTTAGACTGGGGAAGAACTAGACCATTAAGCCTGGTGGTCAGGTAGCTTCGTCTAGGTATAGGTCTTTTTCTTGGGGAGGCATGAGCTAAGGCAGCTGCTCCCAGGGCTGCAGTATACTATGTCTTCTCTGGCACCAAGGAGAGGTAGTAGGGCATTGCCGTGTAATGTCTCCTTTAGGAAATCTTTCTAACAAAATTATCCTGCCATTACCCTGGGTCATGCCATCCATTCTGTGTTGTTTTCACCTGGAGCTGGGCCTTCCACCCAATTCTCTCCTTCTGGCCGTATCCTCTAACTCACAGTTAGGGATCTCTGTGGCTGCCCTTCAACAACTGGAAGCTTCCTTCTGTTTACCTCTCCCACCCCAGACAGTGGCAACCCTGAGCATACTGGGAACTCGGCGAGTAGTCTCCATCCTGGGCGTGGAAAGCCAGGCTGTGTCCCTGGCTGCCTGCCACCTGCTGCAGGTTATGTTTGATGCCCTCAAGGAAGGTGTCAAAAAAGGCTTCCGAGGCAAAGAAGGTGCCATCATTGTGGGTGAGTGGAAGCAGGTCTGGGGTCTTTTGGACGTTACTGTCATGGAAGGGATGGGGCTGAGCCAGCCAGGCCAGTTTTTTGGGGACCAGACTTGCAGCTGCAGGTTGTTTGGAATACGGTTTGGTGACATTATTTTACTCTAGATTCTCAGCAACCAAGGTGCCTCAGGACAAAGCTGGAGCTCAGTCTGGAGCCTGGGATGCGGATCCCCCCTTCCCTGTGTCTCCCTGGTTTGTTGGAGAAGTTGAAGGGTCAAACTGGGCTGGGCTGCTGTGGAGCCCACTGATGTCTTCTTGTTGTTGCCAGATCCTGCCCGGGAGCTGAAGGTCCTCATCAGTAACCTCTTAGATCTGCTGACAGAGGTGGGGGTCTCTGGCCAAGGCCGAGACAATGCCCTGACCCTCCTGATTAAAGCGGTGCCCCGGAAGTCTCTCAAGGACCCCAACAACAGCCTCACCCTCTGGGTCATCGACCAAGGTAGGTGATATAGTTCACAAAAACTTGCTTCAGCAGCTGAAGTTTGTTTATTCTTAGGAGTAATAAGAAAAGTTGTGAGTGGGGCCAGGCATGGTGGATGACACACTTTGAGAGGCAGGGGGTCACTTGAAGCCGGGAGTTTGAGATCAGCCTGGGCAACATAGCGAGACCCTGTCTCTATGAAAAATTAAAAAAAATTAGCTGGGCATGGTGGTGTGCATCGGCAGTCCTAGCTACTCCAGAGGCTGAGGTGGGAGAATTACTTAACCCTGGGAAGTCAAGTCTTCAGTGAGCTGTGATTGTACCACTGCACTACAGACTGGGCAACAGAGGGAGACTGTCTCAAAAAAAAAAAAAAAAAAAAGAAAGAAAAGTTGTGATTATCTCCAGCCACGTGTCTGCACTGAAGTGCGTCCTGTGGCCCAGGAGGATGCTGGAGCTGAGAAGATCTTCCAGAGCAATGGGATTCAGCTCTTACAACACCTTCTAGACACAAGAGCTACCCTTAGGGGGCTCAAAGTTAGACTCTTCTATCATATGCGTGTGCACATACATGCACATTGAGCGGGCCTGCAAGCAGGTTAGCAGAGAGGCTGGATTAGCTTTCTGTATTTTTTTTTTTTTGAGACAGAGTCTCACTCTGTCGCCCAGGCTGGAGTGCAGTGGCGCGATCTCAGCTCACTGCAGCCTCCGTTTCCCGGGTTCAAGCAAATCTCCTGCTTTAGCCTCCCGAGTAGCTGGGATTATAGGCACGCATCAGTATGCCCGGCTAATTCTTGTAGTTGTAGTAGAGATAGAATCTCACCATGTTGGCCAGGCTGGTCTCGAACTCCTGACCTCAAACAATGCACCCACCTTGGTCTCCCAAAGTGTTGGGATTACCGTCATGAGCCATTGTGCCCTGTTTTTTTTTTTTTTTTTTTTTTTTTGTTTGAGTGAGCATGTATTACTTCTATACTCAGAGGAAAAAATAACGGTAGATATATCAATTCATCTCTCTTTTCCCCTAAAAGATAAATAAGAGCTGGGCGTGGTGCCTCACGCCTATAATCCCAGCACTTTGGGAGGCCGAGGTGGGCAGACCACAAGATCAGGAGTTTGAGACCAGCCTGGCCGACATGGTGAAACCCCGTCTCTACTAAAAGATACAAAAAATTAGCCAGGCATGCTGGCATGCACCTGTAATCCCAGCTATTCTGGAGGCTGAGGCAGGAGAATCACTTGAACTCAGGAGGCGGAGGCTGCAGTGAGCCGAGATCGCGCCATTGCTCTCCAGCCTGGGCAACAGGGCGACTCTGTCTTAAAAAAAAAAAAGATAAATAAGAAAAGCTTTGCAAAGGCCTTGCATGAGCAGGGCCTTTCACAATGGTCCTATGAGGTGTGGATATCGTGTTCACAGTGGTCCCACGAGGTGTGGGTATCGTGTTCACAGTGGTCCCACGAGGTGTGTCTATTGTGTTCACAGTGGTCCTACGAGGTGTGGGTATCGTGTTCACAATGGTCCTATGAGGTGTGGATATTCTTTTCCCCTTAGTTTTACAGATGAGGAACCTCAAAAGCTCCAGAGCGTTTGGCCCCAGGGGCAGGGCTGGCATGCAGGCCTCACTTCTGAGGTCCTTCCCGATCCTACAGCCGCCTCCCTTAGGTAGCAGATCAGCTAAGCAGATTCTCCGGGCTGCCCTGGACACAGTTGTCAGAACTCTGTAGCCTTCTTGTCTTGCTTTTCTCCACATCTCCTAGGAAGCCTGTTTCTTTTACTTGTAGGGGTTGGAACTAGTGTTCTACTGTCTAAGCGGGGTGTCTTTACAGGTCTGAAAAAGATTTTGGAAGTGGGGGGCTCTCTACAGGACCCTCCTGGGGAGCTCGCAGTGACCGCAAACAGCCGCATGAGCGCCTCTATTCTCCTCAGCAAGCTCTTTGATGACCTCAAGTGTGATGCGGAGAGGGAGAATTTCCACAGACTTTGTGAAAACTACATCAAGTAAGGAAGTCTGTTTCACCTCCCGTTGCCAGGGATTCTAGCGAAAAAGTTCTGACTCCTTGAGGAGGGGCAGAAATGAAAGGTTTCCAGCAGAAACAGTAATCTTGGGGAGGACTAGTTGGAGGCTGAACAAAGGGAAAGTGGCCCCAAGGCCCACTTCCTGCTCCAAAGTGGCCTCCGCAGGGAGGTTCTTTCTCAAGTCAATGTTCCAATAATGCAACAAACGCCATCAAGCACGTACTGGGTTTACCAAACACTTCCTACGCTTCTGTTCCCACACAGATGAAACATGACAGTCCTTTTTTTTTTTTTCTTGAGACAGAGTTTCACTCTTGTTGCTCAGGCTGGAGTGCAATGGCATGATCTCAGGTCACCACAACCTTCGCCTCTAGGGTTCAAGCGATTCTCCTGCTTCAGCCTCCTGAGTAGCTGGGATCACAGGCATGCACCACCACACCCAGCTAATTTTGTATTTTTAGTAGAGACGGGGTTTCTCCATATTGGTCAGGCTGGTCTCGAACTCCCGACCTCAGGTGATCCGCCTGCCTTGGCTTCCCAAAGTGCTGGGATTTTTTTTTTTTTTTTGAGATGGAGTTTCGCTCTTGTTGCCCAGGCTGGAGTACAATGGTATGATCTTGGCTCATTGCAACCTCCACCCTCCCAGGTTCAAGCAATTCTCCTGCCTCAGCTTCCCAAGTAGCTGGGATAATAGGCACCCACCACCACGCCTGGCTAATTTTTGTATTTTTAGTAGAGATGGGGTTTCACCATGTTGGCCAGGCTGGTCTCGAACTCCTGACCTCACACCTGAGGTGATCTGCCCGCCTTGGCCTCCTAAAGTGCTGGGATTACAGGCATGAGGACCGCGTCCAGGCGACAGTCCTTGTTCTTAAAGGAGATTATAGGCCAGGTGTGGTGGCTTACACCTGTAATCCCAGCACTTTGGGAGGTGGAGGCAGGTGGGTGATCACCTTAGGTCAGGAGTTCGAGACCAGCCTGGCCAACATGGTGAAACCCCATCTCTACTAAAAATACAGAAAATTAGCCAGGTGTGGTGGTGGGTGCCTGTAATCCCAGCTACTTGGGAGGCTGAGGCAGGAGAATCGCTTGAATCCAGGAGGTGGAGGTTGCAGTGAGCCGAGATCACGCCATTGCACTCCAGCCTTGGGGACAGAGTGAGACTCTGTCTCAAAAAAAAAAAAAAAAAAGAAAGAAAAAAAATTAAAGGAGCTTACAGCTGTTGGGGAGAAAACTGATGATAAATTATGAAATAAGCCGAATCATTTCAGAGCTTAAGTCCAGGAAGGGACATCACTGGTGGTATGGGAGTAACCTGTATTAGATACTATGTCAGGGAAGGCTTGAGTGAAAGTCGATAAAGAAAATCAGCCATTATTGTCCAGGTGGAAACGTCCTAGTCCTCCCATTGGCAGCTTTCCTGCTGTTTCTGCCCAAGTAGTGCAGGTGCCTGGCCAGTGGAGGGGAAGGGAGGGAAGAAGAGTCCCTTTATGTTGGCCTTGGTGTGACGGCTGTCACCCTGTGCCCCTCAGGAGCTGGTTTGAGGGCCAAGGGCTGGCCGGGAAGCTACGGGCCATCCAGACGGTGTCCTGCCTCCTGCAGGGCCCATGTGACGCTGGCAACCGGGCCTTGGAGCTGAGCGGTGTCATGGAGAGTGTGATTGCTCTGTGTGCCTCTGAGCAGGAGGAGGAGCAGCTGGTGGCCGTGGAGGCTCTGATCCATGCAGCCGGCAAGGCTAAGCGGGCCTCATTCATCACTGCCAATGGTGTCTCGCTGCTGAAGGACCTATATAAGTGCAGCGAGAAGGACAGCATCCGCATCCGGGCGCTAGTGGTGAGACGGTGGGCCTGGGGTGGGTGGGCAGGCAGCCAGGCAGGGGTCCTGGTCCAGCCGGTGTTGCAGGGTGTGGCCCCAGCACACTCCAGATGAAAATAAGGAATACTGTAATGCCAAAAAAATTAGCTAGGCTTGGTGGTGCATGCCTATAGGTCCAGCTACTTGGGAGGCTGAGGCAGGAGGATCACTTGAGCTCAGGAGGTTGAGGCTGTGGTGAGTCACGCATGTCACTGCACTCCTGCCTGGGCAACACAGCAAGACCCTCTCTAAAATAAATGGATGAATGAACGAGATTCTGGGCTTTCTTGTGGTGAGAGACATCGGCATGGCTCCTCCCTCCATGGGGCTTAAGACTGGGCCTGCAGGGGTCATGCAGTGTTCCTGGGAGCTGGTGGTTTGGGGGTTTGGGGACTACCTGGCCCTCCATGAGCCTGTTGTGGCTGTGCACCCTGTGGAAGCTGGTCTTCCTCCCTGGGGCACTCAGTCCTGGATTTCTCCATCCCATAAGGATTTGGCTGTGGCTGAAGCACCTGTCCTCTCCCCACATGCCTCTCAACTCCACCTGCAGAGGGCTTCTTTGTGCGACATGGAAGGAAACAGAGCCATTCTCAGTGTGGCCTGGGAAGGGGTGGGGCCCACGACTGTCCAGCGGCCAGCGCATCAGTGTCTGCAGATGCTGTGTCATGCGGCCACCCCAGTAGCTGATTTTCTTGCCACATGCTCTAGGTGGTGGTCTGGAGGGAGAGGGTGCTGATTTGTCTGTGTAGCTTCCAGGGGGCCATGGCAGAGTGCCAGGGAGGGAGTCCAAGCCAGGTGTGGAGGAGCTCAGCTCCTGCCTCCTTCCCCAGAGGCCAACTGGTCTTGCCCTCTTCCTCCAGGGACTCTGTAAGCTCGGTTCGGCTGGAGGGACTGACTTCAGCATGAAGCAGTTTGCTGAAGGCTCCACTCTCAAACTGGCTAAGCAGTGTCGAAAGTGAGTCATCTGGCCTTGCTGTGGTTCCCCACCTGTGGGGTAGATCTCAAGACACAGGGGTCTGGGTGGGGGTTGGGGCCTCCTCCGTCCTGCTCTCTGGCTCAGGCAGGGGCTGCAGTCTGGATCCTGGTACGTGAACTGCTTCTGTACATTGAGGGGATGCCCAAACCCTTGGTTTTTCCCCCTTGGCCTTGGTGTACCCCTCCGTACCCCCAATCCTGAGGGTCGTCCACTATCCTGCGTGTCCCCAGGTGGCTGTGCAATGACCAGATCGACGCAGGCACTCGGCGCTGGGCAGTGGAGGGCCTGGCTTACCTGACCTTTGATGCCGACGTGAAGGAAGAGTTTGTGGAGGATGCGGCTGCTCTGAAAGCTCTGTTCCAGCTCAGCAGGGTAGCTCTGTGGTTCCTGCCGTCAGCCTGGGGACACTGTCTAGGATTAGACCTTACCAGGCTTTCTCGGCAGGGCTTGGCCAATGGGGTCTTTTGACCCCAGGGAAGAGGGCTGGTGGCTGAGTGGCTGCTCTGTGTAGTGTGGGCATGTTGGCCAGCACCAGTGGTGTTAGCAAGGACGTTCTTCTTGGAGGAGCTGGGGAGGTCAAGTTTGTAAGCTCCCAAAGTCTGGGGCCTGGGAGTTTCCCGAATTCATCCTGTACCCAAGGGTCCCAGCTGAGGGTGGAATTGGGGGCCTGGGCCTGGGCAGCATTTATCTGAGTACTGCTCTGCCCCGGGATGCCCATGTGAATTCCTCTGTGTCCTGGCAGTTGGAGGAGAGGTCAGTGCTCTTTGCGGTGGCCTCAGCGCTGGTGAACTGCACCAACAGCTATGACTACGAGGAGCCCGACCCCAAGATGGTGGAGCTGGCCAAGTATGCCAAGCAGCATGTGCCCGAGCAGCACCCCAAGGTGAGGGGCCGCCAGAGGGGCTAGAGGGTTCCCCACCATGGGGACAGCTAACCCAGGGCATCCACAGCAGAACAACCTCCCTTTTTTTTTTTTTTTTTTTTTGAGATGGAGTCTCACTGTCTCCCAGGCTGGAGTGCAGTGATGCGATCTCGGCTCACTGCAAGCTCCGCCTCCCGGGTTCATGCCATTCTCCTGCCTCAGCCTCCCGAGTAGCTGGGACTACAGGTGCCCGCCACCATGCCTGGCTAATTTTTTGTATTTTTAGTGGAGACAGTGTTTCACCGTGTTAGCCAGGATGATCTCGATCTCCTGACCTCGTGATCCGCCTGCCTCAGCCTCCCAAAGTGCTGGGATTACAGGTGTGAGCCACCGTGCCCAGCCAACAGCCTCCCTTTTAAGCCAGTTTGTTTCCTTTTGTCTGGCTGTTTTATTTCCCAGTTCCTCAATTACTGCTGTGAGAAGGGTCCCCCTTTCTCTGTGAGTCAGCCTAGGCCCCTCTCCTAAGCTGCCTCCTCCCCCAGGACAAGCCAAGCTTCGTGCGGGCTCGGGTGAAGAAGCTGCTGGCAGCGGGTGTGGTGTCGGCCATGGTGTGCATGGTGAAGACGGAGAGCCCTGTGCTGACCAGTTCCTGCAGAGAGCTGCTCTCCAGGTGAGCCAGCCTTGGTAGGAGCCAACCTTTCCCAACTCCTGAGCCTCAGGGCTGCAGATGTGGCTCCAGAGGGTGCAGGTTCCAGTGCTGTGGGCCTCTTAGAGCGACGGGGGCTGCCTGCGTGGCTGCCGTCTTTGCTGAGCCTAGGAGTGCAGCGTCTGCCTGCCAGAGTCCCAGAGCTGCCTGCCCACCACCGCCTTCTCCCCACAGGGTCTTCTTGGCTTTAGTGGAAGAGGTAGAGGACCGAGGCACTGTGGTTGCCCAGGGAGGCGGCAGGGTAAGCTGGTTTACACACCCCTTCCTGATGGCTGAGCCATCAGCCTATAAAACATGACTCAGCAGCTGCCACGCCAGAGCTGGGTGTTAGATATGGAACAGAAAAACATTAATGGCCAGAGGAACACCGTCCCGCTGAGAGAGTGACGCGGAAGCAGGCAAGCTCCTTGGCCCCTCCACACTGGTGCCTGTGAAGGTCCTAGGCTCTACTGTTCCTTTGTCTCATTTACCCCCATGGCCCTGGTGCTCAGCACAATCCATGTCCAGCCCTTATTAGGTGTTTCAGGAAGTGTTTGGATGCAGAGGGTCTGCACAGGGAGTCAAGCCTGGGGAGAGGGAGGAAGGTGAGGGTGGCACGGTCAGGGCTGGGGAGCCCGATGGTCGGGGTCTTACTCCCAGGGATGTCCTGAGCAGTGACGGGCTTGTTCCTACAGGCGCTGATCCCGCTGGCCCTGGAAGGCACGGACGTGGGGCAGACAAAGGCAGCCCAGGCCCTTGCCAAGCTCACCATCACCTCCAACCCGGAGATGACCTTCCCTGGCGAGCGGGTACGTGTCTTCCTGCCCCGGCCTTTCCACTCCCTCTGTCCCTGATGGCCTGTGGGCTGGGCTGTAGCTCCCCTTTGGGACCAGCAGGAAGTTTCAGCTTTGTCAAGGCCTGGGGCAGGGAGGACAGCCTGAGACAGCAGTACTCTCTTGGGGGTGGGCTTCTCCCTGCAGGGTTGGTGGGGCTTGTGGGGGCTGCGGCAAGTACCCCTGACAGGTGGGGTGCACATTGCAGATCTATGAGGTGGTCCGGCCCCTCGTCTCCCTGTTGCACCTCAACTGCTCAGGCCTGCAGAACTTCGAGGCGCTCATGGCCCTAACAAACCTGGCTGGGATCAGCGAGAGGCTCCGGTAAGGTCCCTTGGGATTGCGGGGCCTGGACCAGGCATCGGGATTCGGAATATCCCCCACAGCAGTTTACACATTGGGAAACACTCCTTGGTCATGGGCTTCTGTGAGCCTCACAGTGACTGCTCCGCATCATTAGAGAGGAGGCGACAGGCCAAGAGGCAGCACGGCACGGCAGACTCTAGAGTCAGACTGCCTCGCTTCCCTGATTGCAAATGGGCAACCTCAAGCAAGTTACTTAACTGCTCTGTCTCAGTTTCTCCCTCTGTGAAATGGGATGATTATAGTACCTACCTCATGGCATAGTGATGAGGAGAATAAAATGAGAAAATACACCTAAAAGTACTTACTACATGGGTACCTGGCCCCTAGCATTGTGCCATATCAGTATATTTTAGTTTTTTTTTTTCTTTGAGACGGAGTCTTGCTCTGTCACCCAGCCTAGAGGGCAGTGGCATGATCTCAGCTCACCGCAACCTCTGCCTCCCAGGTTCAAGCGATTCTCCTGCCTCAGCCTCCTGAGTAGCTGGGATTATAGGCACGTGCTACCGCGCCTGGCTAATTTTTGTATTTTTGTAGAGATGGCGCTTTACCATGTTGGTCAGGCTGGTCTAGATCTCCTGACCTCGTGATCCGCCCACCTCAGCCTCCCAAAGTGCTGGGATTACAGGTGTGAGCCACTGCAGCTGGCCAGCATGTTTTAGTTTTATTACTAACTGTGACTTTGAACATATTACTCATTACTTAGCCCGTTTCCTATTCTGCAAAACAGTAGTGATGATGATCACACTTGCACCTTTAGTATAGGGCCATGGTGAGAATTAAGTAAGATGATCCAGGTGCCTGGTCAGGGTAAATACTCAAATGAGGCCGGGCGTGGTGGCTCACACCTGTAATCCTGGCAATTTGGGAGGATGAGGCAGGAGGATCACTGGAGCCCAGAAGTTCAGGCCAGCCTGAGCAGTGTAGCAATACCTCGTCCCTATTTAAAAAAGAAATTAAAGAGAATATCAGGAAGAATAGCTAATGCATGCTGGGCTTAATACCTGGGTGATGGGATGATCTGTGCGGTAAACCACAACGGCACATGGTTACCTGTGTAACAAACCTGCACGTCCTGCACATGTACCCCTGAACTTAACAGTTGGAAAAAAAATTTGCAAGGTGTGGTGGCGTGCACCTGTAGTCCCAGCTACTCGAGAGGCTGAGGCAGGAGGATCACTTGAGCCTGGGGGGGTCAAGGCTACAGCAGTGAGCTGTGATCATGCCACTTTACTCCAGCCTAGGTGACAGAGTGAGATCCTGCCTCAAAAAAACACAGAAACAAAAACCCTCAAATGTTAGGTGTTAGCCTCACCATCACGACCACCCTGGTCTTCTACATCCTAATTTTGAGCATTTCCCACAATCCTATGCTATTTCCTAGGCCTGGTTAGAAGGCTAAGAAGCACTGTAGTTCATACCTGGTGCAAGAGGGTCCTTGGACATTGCCAAGGGAAATCCTCAGCCCAGGACTTGATTGCATGAGGGTGTGGGTGCAGGGGTGGAGCAGATGTAGAAACTCTGATGATGCTGCCGGTGTTAGTCTGTTCTTGCATTGCTGTAAAGGAATACCTGAGACTGGGTAATTTATAAAGAAAAGAGATTTAATTGCTTCCTGGCTCTACAGGCTGTGTAAGCATGGCATTGGCATTTGCTCAGCTTCTGGGGAGGCCTCAGAGAGCTTTTACTCATAGTAGAAGGCAAAGCAGGAGCAGGCACATCACATGGTGAAAGTAGGAGCAAGAGACAGTCGGGGGAGGTGCCACACACTTTTTTTTTTTTTGAAATGGAGTCTCCCTCTGTTGCCCAGGCTGGAGTGCAGTGGCGCAATCTTGGCTCACTGCAACCTTCACCTCCTGGGTTCAATCGCTTCTCCTGCCTCAGCCTCCCTGAGTAGCTGGGACTACAGGCGCGCACCAGCATACCCAGCTAATTTTTTTTTGTCTTTTTAGTAGAGACAAGGTTTCACCATGTTGGCCAGGCTGGTCTCGAACTCTTGACCTCAAGTCATCTGCCTGCCTCGGCCTTCCAGAGTGCTGGGATTACAGGCGTGAGCCTCCACGCCCGGCCGAGATGCCACGCACTTTTAAATAACCAGATCTCACGAGAACTTACTATCACGAGGATAGCACCAAGCCATGAGGGACCCATCCCATGACCCAGTCACCTCCCACCAGGCCCTACCTCCAACATTGGGGATTATAGTTCAACATGAGGGTTAGAAGGGAAAACATCCAAACCGTATCCCTGCTGCTTCCTCCTGTGGCCCTGCAGGCAGAAGATCCTGAAGGAGAAGGCTGTGCCCATGATAGAAGGCTACATGTTTGAGGAGCATGAGATGATCCGCCGGGCAGCCACGGAGTGCATGTGTAACTTGGCCATGAGCAAGGAGGTGAGGGTTGGTCTGGGTGCTCATGACAGGCGGGGATGCAGAGGTACCTGTGCCCTGGCTGGGCTTTACACCCAACTGACTTGGTCCACTCCTCACATCTGGCCACAGGTGCAGGACCTCTTCGAAGCCCAGGGCAATGACCGACTGAAGCTGCTGGTGCTGTACAGTGGAGAGGATGATGAGCTGCTACAGCGGGCAGCTGCCGGGGGCTTGGCCATGCTTACCTCCATGCGGCCCACGCTCTGCAGCCGCATTCCCCAAGTGGTCAGTGCCTCTTCTCAGTGGGGGAGGAGGGACGGACCAGGAACTCCCAGCAGCAGCTGAAGGGGGCAGTCCTAGGGTGTGTGGGTGTGTCCCTTGCCAAGGTTGAGCCTGTTGCCCAGGGGTCATATCTACCCTGTTTTTCTCACAGACCACACACTGGCTGGAGATCCTGCAGGCCCTGCTTCTGAGCTCCAACCAGGAGCTGCAGCACCGGGGTGCTGTGGTGGTGCTGAACATGGTGGAGGCCTCGAGGGAGATTGCCAGCACCCTGATGGAGAGTGAGATGATGGAGATCTTGTCAGTGCTAGCTAAGGGTGACCACAGCCCTGTCACAAGGGCTGCTGCAGCCTGCCTGGACAAAGCAGTGGAATATGGGCTTATCCAACCCAACCAAGATGGAGAGTGAGGGGGTTGTCCCTGGGCCCAAGGCTCATGCACACGCTACCTATTGTGGCACGGAGAGTAAGGACGGAAGCAGCTTTGGCTGGTGGTGGCTGGCATGCCCAATACTCTTGCCCATCCTCGCTTGCTGCCCTAGGATGTCCTCTGTTCTGAGTCAGCGGCCACGTTCAGTCACACAGCCCTGCTTGGCCAGCACTGCCTGCAGCCTCACTCAGAGGGGCCCTTTTTCTGTACTACTGTAGTCAGCTGGGAATGGGGAAGGTGCATCCCAACACAGCCTGTGGATCCTGGGGCATCTGGAAGGGCGCACACATCAGCAGCCTCACCAGCTGTGAGCCTGCTATCAGGCCTGCCCCTCCAATAAAAGTGTGTAGAACTCCACTGTGTGCCCTGTCCTTGGGCAGGGAGGGCTGCTGTGAGTGGGAGTCTCTGAGTGGGTGAGTGTGGGTGAGTATGGGTGTGAGCTGGGCGTGGGTGAGTGTGCAACGGAGCTTCACAGTGGCAGACCCACCTCCATGGAAGGAATCCAATGGATTCCCCAACCAGGGCCCACTGAGTTGCTTCTTAATCCTACTGGAGGGACAAAGGGTAAGCCTAGGAAGCTAATCAATAAGAAACTCACCAGGTGCGGTGCCTCAAGCTTGTAATCCCAGCGCTTTGGGAGGCTGAGGCAGGTGGATCACTTGAAGTCAGGGGTTCGAGACCAGCCTGGGCAACAAGCAAAACTCTTTCTCTATAAAAATACCAAAAAAAAAAAAAAAAAAAAAAAAAGAGCAGAGTGTGGCGGCATGCACCTGTAATCCCAGCTACTCGGTAGGCGAAGGTTGCAGTGAGCCCAGAGCGCAGCCTCCCAAAGTGTCGCCTGGGCGACACAGCGAGACCCTATCTCAAAAAATATTAAACTATCCCAAGAAATAAGTCGTTTAGGGTAGAGACTCCCATATGCTGGGCCTTCAGTACGTTTGTCTTTATATTGGGAGTCCTCTGTGGCCTCCGCTGAGGGCGCTGGGGCGGGGGTTGGGGTTGGTGGCCAGCTGAGCCTGGTTGAAGGGCGGCTTGGGCCCCGCCCACCACCCCAGCACGTTCGAGGAGGGCTAAGCCCAGCGTGAGGCTCGTTGGCTCGACAGAGGCACGTGACGGGTCCTGAGCCAATCCGTGGAAGGTAAAAGCTGCTTCCTGTTGGGGCATGAGTCCGGCGCGTGTCGGGTTTTGAGCTGCCGCGGTCCCGGGACTGAGGTGGGTGGCGGGGTCCGCCCGTCTTGGGCGTCACTCCTCGCCAAACCTTTAGCTCAAGTCTTAATGAATGTCCTCTCTGTGGTTCTAATCCGAGCTCCAGCCCCACGGGTTCCTGCAGGGGCGGGACCACCTGGCCCAACCTCTGCCTTGGTCCAACGCCCCCGGTTTCCTCCAGGGCCTTGGTCCAACGCCCCTCGGAGGTTTCAGCCCATTTCACAGACCGGGCCGCAGGGCCCCGGCGTAGGCCTCGGGACCGGAGAGGCCCTCAAGGGGAGTTGAACAGGGCTGCGGCCGCCGCGCCCCGGGCGGCGACGTCACCGCCCTTGCTGGTGATTGGCCGCCTCGCGCCGCGCGCCCTTCAAACCTTTTCTCCCCGTGGCTGTCGGCGCCCGCTGGGCGGGAGGCCTTTCCGGAGGCGGCCGCTCTGCGCCTCGGCGTTTCCTCCAAGGCTGCCCACCAGAAGGACCTGCCCGAGAGGGTAGAGGGCATAGGGTCAAGATCAAGGTCAGAGGCCCCCTTGGGTTGGGAGAGGACACGGAAGGGGTTAGGAGCCCAGGAACTGGGGTCTCAGGAGAGACCCAGGATCTGACTTAAGAGGCCTGAAAATGCCCATGCAATTCTGCTTCAGCCCGGGTGCAGCGGCTCACGCCTGTAATCCCAACGCTTTGGGAGGCCGAGGCGGGCGGATCACTCGAGCCCAGGAATTTGAGACCAGCCTGGGCAGCATAGCGAGACCCCTGTCTCTATTATATTAAAAAAAAAAAAAAACAAACCCGCTCCAGCCGAATCTGCTTGAAGTTGGCGTTGCTGTTGTAACCACCAGACTGTTTGTCTCCCCATTTAACGGTTAGCTCCTTGGGAGCAGACAGCTGTCCTCACTGGCAGAGGAGGAGCGCTCAGTAAATGCTCGCTGGACGAATAAATGGCTAGATAAGGTACAGTTGAAATTCTGTCTGTATAAGTTTCTCAAAACCAGTAAGATGTCCAGGGATAATTTTTTTGTCAACACTAAATACTGGATTCAGTAAGCTAATACTGTGTGTTTATCATGGCATGTACTCGCACCAAACCCTTTATTTGCATTTATTACAATTCTGTGAGGAAGGTTCAAACAGCACCGCCCCCACCTCCCTTTGTAAACTGAAGAAACGCAGTTGGACTCAGGTGGATTGGCTGCGGTCCCAAGGCCCCGCTGAGTTGCAGAGGCACTGCCTCCCAAACGCTCTTCTGCGTTCCGCTGTGGGGAGAGGGGCAGAGCACTGTGTGTGGAGTTGGTGGGACCTGATTTCAGCGCTCTGCCCCTCTCTGTCTGGCTGTATGAGTGTGTAAGGGTTACTTTGTCTCAGAATCTCCTCTGTAAAACGACCATTTTGGTTCCCAAGATTACATGGGATAAAGTGCCAGATGCTGGGAAGCTGCGGGACGGGGTGGGGGTGTCGGGGGCGCTCGGATCCTAGTCCAATGCCTAAAGGACAGGCCACTTCGTACCCACTTTGTGGCACGCTGAGCTTGAGCCAAAAGGGAGGACAGGGAAAGTGCCTCTAAATATTTGAGCATCTTTGTAAATCCGGTAGGGCATTAGTCAGGGCGCCTGCTCAGCGAACCTTCGTGGCACGGACTCTGCCTTTGTGGTCGGGAGAATGATAGTTTCTCCATTTTACAGATAAGGCAGCTCCAGCCCCTGGAAGGCCAGAGACTTGCCAGTGTCCCACTAGCGGGCTCTTCGCAAGAATCCCCCCGGGCCCGCCGCAGCCAGGCGGCGGCCGGCAGAGGGCGCTGCTCGGGCATGGCGGAGGAGCGGCCGGGGGCCTGGTTCGGCTTCGGTTTCTGCGGCTTCGGGCAGGAGCTGGGCTCCGGACGCGGGCGCCAGGTGCACAGCCCCAGTCCGCTGCGGGCGGGCGTCGACATCTGCCGCGTGAGCGCGAGCTGGAGCTACACCGCTTTCGTGACCCGTGAGCACTCCCCGCCCCGTCCCCACTTATTCCAGCCGCGCTCCCCAGTCGCCTCCCCGCACCGCTGTGGCCAGTCCAGTTTGTCTCCCCCGTTCAGGCCGCCAGCCCCACATTCTGGGTTGGTCCCCAATTCGACCCCTTCCCAGGAACACCCCGCTCCCCCCATCCCCGCCGCCTCCATTCTGGCCACCCTGCTCCAATCCGCCCCGCAGGTGGAGGCCGCTTGGAGCTGTCGGGCTCAGCCAGCGGCGCGGCGGGCCGCTGCAAGGACGCGTGGGCCTCGGAGGGGCTCCTCGCGGTGCTGCGCGCCGGGCCGGGGCCGGAGGCGTTACTGCAGGTCTGGGCGGCCGAATCGGCGCTGCGTGGGGAGCCATTGTGGGCCCAGAATGTGGTGCCCGAGGCCGAAGGGGAAGACGATCCGGCCGGTGAGGCCCAGGCTGGGAGGCTACCCCTGCTGCCCTGCGCCCGTGCCTACGTGAGCCCGCGGGCGCCCTTCTACCGGCCTCTGGCTCCGGAGCTGCGGGCACGCCAGCTGGAGCTGGGCGCCGAGCACGCGTTGCTGCTGGACGCTGCTGGCCAGGTGTTCTCCTGGGGCGGGGGCAGGTGAGCGGAGGCGGGGGCAGGTGAGGGCTGCTGATTGGAGAAGCAAGCGGAGCGGGACCCCTTAATGCGACTGTAGCTGACGACGGTCTCCCTTGCTCAGGCATGGACAGCTGGGCCATGGGACCCTGGAGGCAGAGCTGGAGCCACGGCTGTTGGAGGCGTTGCAGGGCCTAGTCATGGCTGAGGTGGCCGCGGGGGGCTGGCATTCTGTGTGTGTGAGTGGTGAGTGACTTAGTGCTTCTCCAGACGAGCTCATGATCTTGTGCAAACCTTCCTCCTCGTTTTCCAGTTTGGGTGGGGGCCTACCCAGGCCTCCTTCCAAATTCATCCATCCATCGCCCAGTCAGTTATGACTCCTAAATGCCTCTCACCCTCGGCCTCCTCTGCCTGCACCATGGCCCACTCACGCCTGGACTCTGGCATTTGTTCCTAGCTTCTCTGTTACTGGTCTCACTGCCCCTCCCCTCCTCTCCCCACCTGCTCCCAGCCAGGACTGTCTCTTAACAGTGCTGCCGAGGGAGTATGGAGTGTGAGGGGGCAGCTGAGCCAAGGAAAACGCAGAAACGCTGCAGTTGCCTAGGGGGCCATGATGTGTGGCACAGGGTGGACACTGGGGTGCCCACCAGGCACCAGGATGGTGATGAGTGTGTCCCTGTGGTGGTGCCACAGCTGGCCAGAGTGAGGAGTTTCACTTGGTGATCCAGGTGTAGCTCCTTCCTAGGCTGTTAGAGCCCATGCAGAGAGGGTGAGGCTGGGAACAGATGATCTTTGTCTGTGTCTGGGGCTCTCATTCTGGCTGCTACGTAGATCACCTGGAAGCTTAAAAAATTACCAATGCCAGGGGGCCGGGCGTAGTGGCTCATGCCTGTAATCCCAGCACTTTGGGAGGCCGAGGTGAGTGGATCACGAGGTCAGGAGTTCGAGATCAGCCTGACCAACATGGTGAAACCCCGTCTCTAAAAAAAAATACAAAAATTAGCTGGGTGCAGTGGTGTGCGCCTGTAGTCCTGGCTACTCGGGAGGCTGAGGCAGGAGAATCGTTTGAACCTGAGAAGCAGAGGTTGCAGTGAGCCGAGATCGTGCCACTGCACTCCAGCCTGGGCGACAGAGCGAGACTCAGTCTCAAAAAAAAAAAAAAAAAAAAAAGAAAAGCTACCAGTGCCTTCCTCCACACCATATTCTCATGGAATGGGCCTGGGCTGGTTGCCAAGCTCAGGAAACCCTGGGCTGAGCCTCGCCAACGTGGCAAAACCTCGTCTTTGTACAAAAAATATAAAAATGAGCTGGGCGTGGCGGCTCGTGCCTGTGGTCCCAGCTACTCGGGAGGCTGAGGCTGGAGGATCACTTGAGCCACGCGTGAGTGGAGGTTGCAGTGAGCCAAGATCACACCACTGCACTCCAGTCTGAGTGACAGAGTGAGACTCTGTCTGTCTAAAAAAAAAAAAAAAACAAAAAAAAAAAACCCCAACCTTGGGCTGGAGAGACCAGAGGGCTGGAAACAGCCCAGTGGGACGCCCTGCACTCAAGGTCCAGAAGGAGTTTGAGGCCTTAAGTTTAGTGTAGAGGCTGAAGCACGGACACATCCCACCAGACTTCCTAGTTTCAGATCATTGCTCGGGCCCTGGGACCTCGGGCCTGGTACTTAACCCCCTCTGTGCCTCAGTTGTGAATAAAATAGGGATCCTGCGTAAATGGTGATATTGTCATAAAACCACCTGTAGGGCTATTGTGAGAATTAAGTGATTATATTTGAAAAGCATGTGAAACATCAGCATGGATTAAGCACTTCATAAAGCAGCTATTGTTAGAAATTTTTAGAATTAGGCAGCTGTTCCAACCAAAAAGCTCCAGTGTTGTGGGAGGCCAGGAAGGGGAGAGCTGCACGTGGCTTTCATCAGGACCGGCTGTGGGTGCAGTTGAAAAAGGGGCACAGGCCGGCCCAGTGGTTGTTTTATTTACTTATTTAGAGACAGGGATTTTGCCATATTGCTGAGGCTAGTCTCGAACTTTTGAGCTCAAGTGATCTACCCATCTCAGCCTCCCAAAGTGCTGGGTTACAGGCATGAACCAATGCACCTGGCCCTGGCCCAGTGGTTTTGAAAGGGAGACCACTGCGGTACTTCTAGGGATACATTTCTGAAATGAGGGGCTATTTGGCAGCATAAGAATGGAAGTAGAAGGTCCAGTAAGGGACTTAAAGGGTGATCTGAAGGCATTGAGGGGATGTGAACCTAAGACAAGCCCCTGGGGCCCGAGGGGAAGCGCCTTGGCCTGGAGTGCTACCTTGGGCAGGGCAGGCTTTAGTTGTCCCCAGGAGCGGATGCGATGGGGAGGAGAGTTTGGATGGATGCAGGGGCTTCACAGTCTGTTTCATGTGTCCCCTTGATCTCTTTCAGAGACTGGGGATATTTATATCTGGGGCTGGAATGAATCAGGGCAGCTGGCCCTGCCCACCAGGAACCTGGCAGAGGATGGAGAGACTGTCGCAAGGGAAGGTGAGGGTCATCTCGGCTCCCACAGCCGTCTCCCCAGGATGTGGCTGTCATTCCTAACTCCTGGCTGTATGCTGGCCTCAGAGCTACACTGCTCAGATGGAGCATGTGAGCCCCTTATGGGAGGGAGCATTGGCAAGGCTGATGCCGGTCTTGGCACAACACACTTGTGCAGCAGTGCCAGCCCTGCCTGCAGAATGTAGGGGTTGGGAGCACCAGCTTTGGAGCTAGGCAGTCGTGTACCTCAGAGCTGTTGTGGCAATAAGTGACTGCATGAATAAGATTTAGCTCAGGGCTCAGTTGGTGTTCACATCATTATTATCATTCTGAAGCCACAGAACTGAATGAAGATGGTTCTCAGGTGAAGAGAACGGGTGGGGCTGAGGATGGAGCCCCTGCCCCCTTCATAGCTGTCCAGCCCTTCCCGGCATTACTGGATCTCCCCATGGGCTCAGATGCAGTCAAGGCCAGCTGTGGATCCCGGCACACAGCTGTGGTGACACGTGAGTGGGGCTGGGAGGCACTCTGCTCCACTCGAGCTGGTGCCTACGGAAGGGGGTGTGGTCGACGGAAAAACTTCTGTCTTAAGGCTTCTGTGGCTCATACAGAGCAGCTACCTTGCTCAGTGGATAAGCCCCAACCCCCTTGTTGTTTCACAGTAGTTCCCCAGCCTGTCAGGCCCAGAAGTTTCTTCCTTCTGGTGGGAGGCTGATGCTTTCTGTCCTCCCTGCACGGCCACAGACACATTCCCTGCCCGCCGCCGCCTCTGACAGCAGGGACTGTCCAGTCTGGCATGGAAGACTGCGGCGCTCGGTAGCATGGCACACAGGAAGATCCGCCACTTTTTCCCTCGGGATCCTCTGCCATGCCACGTGTGATCAGCCAGTTGTTAAGAGAATATGTTGTTCCATGCCAGGCAGATCTCATGAGGATTGTAATATGCTAGCTGTGGGCTGTGCCAAGCTGGGCTGGACAGATGCCTTGCCAAAGAACCGTAGTGACAACTATCGATTGTCCTTTTGCTTTCAGGAACAGGGGAGCTCTACACCTGGGGCTGGGGTAAGTAAAAGGATTGTTTTTGTGACCCTGAAACCAAGGAGAAGAAAGACCTGGGAGTACAGGGCAGGTGACAAAGCCAACAAGACTGGAGGAAGCAGGGGCCTCGGCCAGGTCACTGGGAGGAACAGGACTGCTCCCTCCCTGGGGTTGGAACAGACATAGGCGCGCTCAGTCCGAGGCCAGACAGGGGAGACATGGAGAGGATATCGGTACCACCCGCCTACCTCTCTGAAAGACTGTCTTAAGGGAGTATCCAACCAGCACTTACAAAGCAGCTTTTTGTGGATGTGACACTGGGTGGAGAAAAAGATTCGATGGAAGTGTGTGCTCTGAACATCTTAGCTTGGATAGCAGGGAAGTCTGGAGGAGCGTCTTGCCTGGAGTGGCTGGTCGCCACTAGCCTCTTGGGGATCCCCAAGGTTGCCTGGCTCTGGGTCTCTTGGATTCACAGAGCAGTGGGGCATAATCCCAGCACTTCATTTGATAGTCTGGGCCCCTTCCTGGAGGGAAAGCAGCAGCAAGACCCAGTGGAGACGATGGCAAAGGGGCTGATTTCACTTTAGGTAAATATGGACAGCTGGGCCACGAGGACACCACCAGCTTGGATCGGCCTCGCCGTGTGGAATACTTTGTAGATAAGCAACTCCAAGTAAAGGCTGTCACCTGTGGGCCGTGGAACACCTACGTGTATGCTGTGGAGAAAGGGAAGAGCTGACATGTGTACGTATATGTATATGCAACACCTGTGAGACCCCCATTCAGGTCAAGGAAAACCATTGCCTGCACCCCAAGGGCCCCATATTTGCCCCTCCCCATCACAGTCCTGCCCTTCACCCTCAAGCACGGTCCTAAACTTGTCTGCACTTTAGAAACACCTGGAGAGCATTGAAAACTCTGCTGCCTAAGGTCAGCATCAATCAAAACAATGAAATCAATGAAACAATGAAACCAGAGCTTCTAGGTGTGTGGCCTGGATAGTGGTAGATTCAAAGCTCCACCCACCTCATCCCAGGTACATTTGATGTGCAGCTGAGATTGGGGCACATTCCAGGTCATCGTCTTCTGTCAGTCATTTCCCTGCTTTCGTTTGAATTTTACCATTCTTGTATGCAGCCTTATACGACATAGTTGTGTTTGCTTTTGAGTGTTAGATAAATGGAATCCTGTGTATGTGCTTTTGTGTCGTTTTTGTCACTCAGCATTGTATAATCCATCCTTGTTGGGTCCTGGAGTTCATTTTTAATGCTATATGGTGTTCTGTTGTATGAATAATACCTCAAGTGATACAGCCTTGTTGATGGTCATTTTTATTGTTTCTGATTTTGGTCATTCCACATAATTCTTTGTGCAGTCTTCTGCACATGTGCACAAGTTCCTTTGCAGAACATTGAGTTGAATTGCTAAGTCAGGAGATACCTTTAATTTTACTAGATAACTGTTGCCCCCAGCAGGGTGGGGTCTACTGTGGCTAAAATGTCAGGTAGATGCACACTGGTTTTAATTGGCATTTCCCTGGATACTGATGAGGTTGAGTAGCTTTTCATTTGTTTTGGATGGCTGGGCATGGTGGCTCACACCTGTAGTCCCAGCACTTTGGGAGGCTAAGCAGGGAGATTGCTTGAGGCGAAGAGTTCATATGTTTATTGGCCACTTGGAGTTTTTCTGTTGTCAAGTGCCTGTTCAAGTTTTCTGGCCTTTTAAAATGTTCTGTATTTTCCTTAGTGATTTTTCTTTTGGATATTTCAGATACAAGTCTTTTGAGAGTTAGTATTCAGAGTATCTTCTGCTACAATGTAGTTTGTTTCAGTCTCTCTTGGTATTACCAATTTTAATACTTAGGTGATGCTTACTCCATGCCAGGTAAGGCTCAAAGTGCTTTACAAGTATCAACTTATTTTGATAAAATAAGCTTATCAGTAGTTTTCTTTATAGTTAAATTCTATTTGTGCATGTGTGTGTCTGTGGTTTAGCAAATGTTTCCCACCCATGGGGTCTTTTTTATTGTGGTAAAATATACTGAACATAAAATTTATGTTCAATAAAAAACAAAAATTGTTTTTAACCATTTTAAGTACATAGTTCAGTGACATTATATGCATTCACTGTTGTGCAACCGTCACCCCTATGCATTTCCAGAACTTTTTCATCATTCTATGCTGAAACTCTGTGCATTAAACACTTAACTCGTCAGTCTCCCCTTCCCCAGCCCCAGGCAACCACAGTCCTAACCTTCTGTTCCTATGATACTGTAAGTGCCTCATGTAAGTGAAATCCCATAGTATTTGTCTTTTTATGACTGGCTTATCTCACTTAGCAGCATGTCCTCCAAGTTCATCCATGATGTAGCTTATGTATCTAGACTTCCTGCCTTTTAAAGGCTAAGATTCTGTTGTATGTATACACTGCGTTTTATTCATCCGTGCATTGGTGGATATCTGAGTTGTTCACTACAGTCAATAATGTTGCTGGGAACATGGGTGTACAACTCTCTTGAGTCTCTGCTTTCAGTTCTTTTGGATATATACCCAGAGTGGAATTGCTGGATTGTGTGGTAATTCTAAATTTTTTTGAGGAACTGCCCTGTTTCCCACAGAGGCTGCATCATTTTACATCCCCACTGGAAGTGCACACAAATCCTAATTTCTCCACATCCGCGTCCACACTTGTTTTCTATTTCTGGTTAACAGCCATCCTAATGGGTGTGAAGTGGTATTTCATTGTGGGTTTTTTTTTTTTTTTTTGGACAGGGTCTCTCTGTTGTCCAGGCTGGAGTACAGCCTCCACCTTCTGGGCTTAAGCCATCCTCCCGGGTAGCTGGGGCTACAGGCACGTGCCACCACATCTGGCTAGTTTTTTGTATTTTTAGTAGAGATGGGGTTGTTGCATATTGCCCAGGCTGGTCTCAAACTGCTGGGCTGAAGCGATCCACTTGCCTTAGCCTCCCAAAGTACTAGGATTATAGGCATGAGCCATCATGCCTGGCCAAGCCATTTTTTAAAATGGACAAAAGTCAACAAAGACGACAGAAGGATAGCAAGTGAGCATATGAGAAGATGCTCTACATCATTAGTCATTAGGGAGTTGTAAATGAAAACCATAGTGAGACACCACTCCATACACAGAATAACTAGAATTACATAAAGGCTGAACATACCAACTGTTGGTGAAGATGTGGAGAAACTGGAACCTTCATACATTACTGGTAGGAATGTAAAATGGTACAACTGCTTTGGAAAACAGTTTGGCATTTCTTCTTTTTTAAGATGGAGTCTTGCTCTGTTGCCCAGGCTAGAGTGCAGTGGTGCAATCTCAGCTCACTGCCACTTCCGCCTCCTGAGTTCAAGGAATTCTCCTTCCTCAGCCTCCTGAATAGCTGAGATTACAGGTGTGTGCCACCACAGCCAGCTAATTTTTGTATTTTTAGTAGAGATGGGGTTTCACCATGTTGGCCAGGCTGGTCTCGAACTCCTGACCTCGTGATCTGCCCACCTTAGCCTCCCAAAGTGCTGGGATTACAGGCGTGAGCCACCATGCCCGGCCCAGTTTGGCATTTCTTAAAAAGTTAAGTGTACACATACCATAGATGTGATCCAGCCATTTCACTCCTAGGTATTTATCCAGAAAAAAAAATATATCCATACAAAGACTTGTACATGAATGTTTATAACAGCCTTGTTTTTAATAGCCAAAAACTGGAGAAAAGCCAAATGTGAAAAATAAACCTAACAGGCGAATAAACTGGTATATCAACACCATGGAATACTAAGCAAAAAAAAAAAAAAAAAAAAAAAAAAAAAAAAAAAAGAATTATGGATATAAGCAACAATATGGGTAAATCTGAAAGTAGTGAAAGAACCAGACCAAAAAAATATATACTGTATGATTCTACTTACATCGAACTGTAGAAAACGCAAACTAATCTGTAGTAACAAATCGGTGGGCCAGGTACAGTGGCTCATGCCTGTAGTCCTAGCACTTTGGGAGGCCGAGGTGGGCGGATCATGAGGTCAGGAGATCGAGACCATCCTAGCTAATACAGTGAAACCCTGTCTGTCTGTACCAAAAATACAAAAATTTACCAGGCGTGATGGCACGTGCCTGCAGTCCCAGCTACGCGGGAGGCTGAGGCAGGAGAATCCCTTGAACCTGGGAGGCAGAGATTGCAGTGAGCTGAGATTGTGCCACTGCACTCCAGCCTGGCAAGAGCGAGACTCCATCTCAAAAAAAAAAAAAAAAAAAAAAAAAAAAATCAGTGGTTGCTCGGCAGGGTGAGGCTGGGAAGGAGGAGTGAGAAAGGGGTGGGAAGAACTGCTGGGGTAGAGAGACTTGGTTAACTGGACTGTGGCGATGGTTTTTCTCTTACGCTTCACATGTGTGCAGTTTATGTCCATCCTCCTTCAGTAACGCTGTTGAAGTTGGGCAGCCTCCCCATATTGAGACAAACGGCATTGAAGCCAGAAGCATCCTAGGACTCCCTTTGCTCTCTACACATCAGGGGTTAGGTTTTATATTTCTCACCAAAAAATTAGAGTAAGAGATATTCTTAATTTAGAAATGTACCAGAGAATATTTTAAAAATCACACTCGGCCGGGTGCTGTGGCTCATGCCTGTCATCCCAGCACTTTGGGAGGCAGGCAGATCATCTGAGGTCAGGAGTTCAAGACCAGCCTGGCCAACATGGTGAAAGCCTGTCTCTACTAAAAATACAAAAATTAGCCAGGTGTGATGGTGCGTGCCTGTAATCCCAGCAAATCGGGAGGCTGAGGCAGGAGAATCGCTTGAACCTGGGAGGTGGAAGTTGCACTGAACCAAGATAGTGCCACTGTACTCCAGCCTGGGCGACAGAGTGAGACTCAAAAAAAAAAATCACACTCCTGACTAAAAATTTCCAGGAGGTCCTTTTAGTTTTTTGTGTTTGTTTTTCACACACAGACCAACCAACTAAAAAGTGACTGGGGAAAAAAAGGAAACACCACACTATATCTTTTTGAAATGTAAGTATACAGATTTTAATTTATTTTTAAGAATAATTGTATATTTTAAAAACAGGACACGTACTGTATGAGTAAACAGCGTGGCTAACACCAAGTCCACACTGGTAAGCTTTTGAGAACCATTTACACTATGTTGACAGTAGTACTGCTGCAGGCAGACAGCGGAAGAATAAATAATAGTGCTTCAAGAAGAGTAGTGATTGAGAGGATAGGTAAAGAGGGCGCCTCATCGTGGAAGCTAGAGCAGGAACACCTCCCCAGTAGTGACATGTGCAAAGTTCCAGATCTCCACGACAAAGACAGCTCAACCCATTGGAACAAACAGACTCCCAATGTGGCTGGCAACTGCGGGGGTAGAAGAACTCAGGCAAAGTAGGCACAGGAATGGGGGAGATGAGAGCCAAGGGACAAACGCCGAGAAAGCGTTCCGACAAGCATGTGTGTTCATACATGCATACCCCCAACAAAGGGCAATGCACTGTGTAACAGAACTGAACACAATTTAACAAAGCTGCTCCCAGCCTTCCTGTCACCTCTTTGGCAGTAGGGCAGGCCATCTCAACTTCGGACACACAAAGACATTCTCTTCAGGAGGAAGGCTGTCCTGTGTGGTGGGGACAAGGCTTCAGGTAAGAGCAAAGCTATGATAGCTACAGCATTAATTGAACATGCCTAAACAAAAAAGATGTTAATTACTAGTTACAGGTATACATGCCAAAATTACCCCCAGGGATGGGCATAGTCAATCATTTTCCTACAGTGGTGAAATAAAACAAGCTTTGATCATGCTTCAGCAAGTAGAATTATGTGGTAGAGAAGTCAGGCCCCATATGCTAAAATTTGCACTTCTTGCCATAAACTTTTCATGTATATAAGTCAAAACCAAGTCTCCTAGGACCACTAAACCTATGATGGGCTTTCAACTGTAACACTCATTCACATCTTTAAGTTAGGCCCATGGTCATGGAACCTGGCCAAGGTTTCAAGCACGCCTAAGCTGAAGAAAAACTAAAGTCACCCCCATATAATTAGGTCCAGTCTAGGCACAGGAAGCCACAGCTGGTTGACTGATCAGGGCTTCTCAGGACTGGATGTTGGTTGAATTGAGGATTCCAGAAGTAGCATCAGATTTGGAAGCCTTTGAAAGTTCTCGCTGTTGAAAAATAAATAACATCAGTGGCCATACTGCCTCTCTTACACATGGCCCACCCTTCTAAGTTTGGTTAAGTGTCAGCAAAAGGTCCCTTGAAGGTAGTTTCTCTGAGATCCCTAGCCTGCAATAGGCTGCGTTAGGAGTAAAAGGTGAGGAACTCTGAGCACCATTCTATTAGTCACAGACAGAGTGCATGTGCACGCATGCCCGTGACCCCTTTTTCCTCAGCCAGTCCATTCTGTTACACCTCACAGAAGAGAAATCCTTCATACAGTCATGCACTGCATAATGATGTTTCAGTTAACGACAGGCCACATACACTATGGTGGTCCCATAAGATTATACCATATTTTTACTGTACCTTTTCTATGTTTAGATACACAAATACTTACCATTGCGTTACAATTGCCTACAGTATCCCAGGAATAGCCTGAATCAAAAAAACCCACAATTGCCTACAGTATTCTTTCTGTAACATGCTGCCCAGGTTTGTAGCCTAGGAGGAAAACGCCATACCATATAGTTTAGGTGTGTAGGCTGTTCTGTCTAGGACTGTTAAGTACACTCTGATATGTGCACAATGAAATTGCCCCACATTCTCAGAACATATCCCTGTCATTAAGCGAGGCATGACTCTACTTCACAGAGCTACTTTAGAGTTGTCAAGGTAAGTAGGCAACAAGCTTTGGTCTCTTGAGCCCTTTATAAAACAATGGGCCAGAACATATATCTACCAATCCCTGGGGCTGAGGCCTTGTAACCTGCTGGTGATTTGATCTCATGCTGGAGCACATGGTAGAGCAGCAAAAGATAAAGCATGAATGGCTATTGAGAAAGACAGATATTAGCAGAGGTTAGTTTACCGGCTTTGGTGCTGCCTGGTGGAGTCTATCAGCCATAGCAACCCAAACCAGACGAACCTACCTAGGACTAGCCACACAGATAGGCAGGTACATTTAAGCCTCAGATAAAATGGGCCTTGGTTGAACAAGCGAAAAAGAGAAAGCTGGACCTCTGTCCAGCAATCAGCCAGAGTGACACACACCCACTTTTAAAGGTAGAAGCACCACCAGCCACGTAATTTGAAAAACATGCTGGAGTAGGAAGCCAGTTTCAGTGATCAAAACTAGCTGCAGCCTTGGCCAACTGTTCCATTCTCTATCCCTGCAGCAATTAAGAGGGGAGGCAGGCTAGGGGTTTAACTCAATATCCCCTCAAGGGTGAGGAACATCCTCTCCTCTTGCTAGTAAAATATTGAGAGAAGAAATCACAGATTAAGTAAAAGGCAGTGTAGTTAGGTGTTAGCAAATATAGAGTAGGATACTAGGAAGTGAAGAGCATTCTGGAAAAACTTGCTTCCAGTGCTTCATCTATGCTTCAGTAGCTCAATGTATGGAAAGAGGCAAAGGTGAGGAAATCAGCATTAGCTAGCTGAGAATAGAGCTGGCGGTTAAGCCCTGAGGGGTTAGGAAGGCATATACTCCAGGAAATAATCAGCACACAGGCCAAGAGCCTCATTGTAGGCAGCACACAGCTGGGGCTCCCTTCCCCATGTGATTGGGGGCCTCTATTCTTTCCAGCTATTGCAGGCCTTTGATGTCACAATTGGGGAGGGTCAAGGTTTTCTGTTAAACGTGATTTAAAACTGTGCCTGACTTTAGGGGCTGAGAATCCAATTCAAGTCTGAACAAATTTTATTAATTAATCTGTTGTGAATGTAAATCAGATGTGTTTTTTTGAGTCCATGATAGGAATTCCTGCTTCCTTTGTAACACTGCTGAGATTATTAGTTAGTGTAGCCCTGTGCCCAGATGAATGAAGCCAGCAGATGACAGATCAGTTTGGAAAAGGGACATGCAGGGATTGCCATACAGACCTGAAGCCCAACAGTGGAACTGTCAGAGAGGGACGGATCCTTCTAAGAACAAAGAATTAAGACAATTACCAAGAACTCCACCAAGAGAGCACCAGGACAGTGATAGAGGGGTTGCCTCCTGCAGCCAGGGAATGGTATGTATTAAGCAGAAGGATCCAGGTTAAATGTCTAGTTGCTGCTGCCAACTTCCTTCCTACACAACCCCCCCTTAAATCACACCCACCCTGCCATGGTCAAAGCAGGAAAGGGATTCTCAGCCTCCAAGGTAGCTGCCCTAGCTAATAGCCTGGGTGCCCCTGGGAAGATACCCACTCTGCCCCAACTGTGTGCTCCCCAGAGACTGGTAGATATTAGAAAAGGTGAATTACCGCAAACTCAGAATAGGTGCTGGCAACAGAATTAATGCTGAAGTTGCGCTGGAGGGGGGCCGAGCCAGGGTACCCACCACTCAGGATGCTGCCGTTGAGCTCCAGGTTCTCCTTGTTGGCTCCATGCCTGCCAGTACGGGGTGTTTTCTTCCCTGAACAGGTGGAAGCAGCGACTGGCTGCAGAGAAAGGAAAGAGATCCATGTATCATCCTTCTAATGAACGTGCACACGCACACACAATACCTGCACTGGTCAAAGGCTGAGACTATCTTTATATTCATGTCTATAATCCTATACTTTTTAGTTAAAAAAAAAACATATATATATATATATATATATATATATATATATATATGGGGCTGGGTGTGGCTCATGCCTATAATCCCAACACTTTGGGAGGCCAAGGCAGGAGGATTGCTTGAGGCGACATGTTCGAGACCAGCCTGGGCAACATAGCAAAACACTGTCTCTAGAAAAAAATTTTTTTTAAATATGAATTCTTGATTTACAGAACACCTATCTTGAGCATAGTCTAATAAAATATTTGAAAGACTGAATGTGTTTTGCCACATACTTTCCACATCTCTACTGAGTACCTGGCATGTCTAGTGATCTGGTTTCACTGGGCTAGAACCCACATGTAGGGGACCTATCTCCATACCAGCTGAGGACTGGGCTTGGAATTGAGTCTACAGCGACCCTGCCTGATCTTCAGTTTCCCAGACACATCCCAGTGCTTCCCATGGTACCAGTGGGGCTCAGAGTGACTGTTCTCTTTTTTTGCACGTTAGTTTTGGACCATTATTTAATGGTGAGCTAGCTTATATCTGTCAACTCTCAGCATCTCAATAAGAACCAAATCCAGGGATCTTAGAATCTAGAACAAGTAGGTGGGGCCTCTGGGTGAACAGGCTAGGGACGCATGTGAGGATGTGCTTAGACACAGGGCATACTAACCTTGCTGCCAGAAGGAGGAAGTCGAGACACGGGGGAGTGGTAGACTGTCCCTCCAAAGATAGGCCGAATGCTACTATTGGCCGTAGCATTGGACATGGTGGTAGTGTTCAGCTAGGGAGAAGAGCACGTGGGTAACTGATGTGCAGTAACATCCTCAGCATTTCTAGCAACCTGTCTACCCTACAGAGAAATGACTATGGGAGGAGGCAGTCTAGGGAAGACGGGTTTACATGGTGAAGGGCCTGCTGTGTCTAATACTGCATAGATTTGAAGTAACTTGTGAAAAATTTTCAAAGCCTATTGCTATCCAGCAAATGGAAGTGTACAATGGTACAACCACTGTGGCACAAGACATCTAGCATATGACCCAGCCATTCCACTCTTAGATGTTTCTACCCAAACGAAATGAAAGCATAGATCCATACAAAGACTTAGACGTAAATGTTCACAACAGCTCCCTGCAGCAGCCAAAAGCTGGCAACAGCCAAATACCCATCAGCAGGTAAGTGGACAAGCAAACTGTGGTAAATTCATACAGTGGAATGAATATTGATCTACAATAAAAAGGAGTGACCTTTTGATACATACAGCAACAGAGATGAATCTACACTAAATGAAAGAAGCCAGACAAAAAAGAATATGTACTGCGGGATTCTATGTAAAATGTTTCAAAATGAAAACTAATCTATAGTTAGTTAAAGACTAAATCCCTACTCGCCACAGCTAGAGGCTGGGGGCAAACTAGGAGCCAGGGAAGGAGGGAGGTAATACAAAGAGGCACTAGGAAACTTTGGGGACCATGAAATGTTCATTATCTAAATTATGGTGACAGTTTCATTGTATAAACCTACATATGTCAAAACTTATTATATGCTAATGATAAGAGCTGTAAATGTTTTTGAGATGGGGTCTCACTCTGTCACCCAGGCTGGAGTACAGTGGTACAATCTTGGTTCACTGCAGCCTCGACCTCCTGGGCTCAAGCAATCCTCCCACCCCAGCCTCCTGAGTAGCTGGGACCACAGGCGTGTGCCACCACAACCAGCTAATTTTTGTATTTGTAGTAGAGATGGGGCTTCAACATGTTTCCTAGTCTCCCAACTCCTGAGTTCAAGCAATCCCCCTACCTTGGCTTCCCGAAGTAGTGGGATTACAGGCTTGAGCCACTGTACCCAGCCAACACTTTTTTTTTTTTTTTTTAATTAAAAAAATTCTAGGGGGCCGGGCACGGTGGCTCATCTGAGGTCGGGAGTATGAGACCAGCCTGACCAACATGGAGAAACCCCGTCTCTACTAAAAATACAAAATTAGGTGTGGTAGCACATGCCTGTAATCCCAGCTACTCGGGAGGTGGAGGTTCACGCCTGTAATCCCAGCACTTTGGGAGGCTGGGGCGGGCAGATCTTCTGAGGTCAAGAGATTGAGACCATCCTGGCCAACAAAGTGAAACCCCATCTCTACTAAAAATACAAAAATTAGGTGGGCATAGTGGCGCGGGCCTGTAGTCCCAGCTACTCAGGAGGCTGAGGCACGAGAATCACTTGAACCCAGGAGGTGTAGGTTGCAGTGAGCTGAGATTGCGCCACTGCACTCCAGCCTGGGCAACAGAGCGAGACTCCGTCTCAAAAAAACAAAACCAAAAAAAACACATTTTAGGCCAGGCACAGTGGCTCATGCCTGTAATCCCAGCACTTTGGGAGGCTGAGGCAGGAGGATCACTTGAGCTCAGGAGTTTGAGACCAGCCTGGACAACTTAGTGAGACCTCATCTCTACTGAAACTCAAAAAAAAAAAAAAAAAAACACCACCAACAAAAAAAAAAACCCCAAAATTAGCCGGGTATGGTGGCATGTGCCCGTAAGTCTCAGCTACATGGGAGGCTGAGGTTAGAGAATCACTTGAGCCCAGGAGGCTGAGCTGCAGTGAGCCATGATGGCGCCACTGCACTCCGGTGTGGGTGATAGAGCAAGACACTGTCTAAAAATAATAAATTTAATGTTATAAAATAGCAGTAGAGAGAAGAAATAATACTCTTTTATTTATCAAAAAGAAAAAAGTAGGCCAGGCACAGTGGCTCACGCCTGTAATCCCAGCACTTTGGAAGTCAAGGTGGGTGGATCACCTGAGGTCAGGAATTCAAGACCCTAGCCAACATGGAGAAACCCTGTCTCTACTAAAAATACAATATTAGCCGGGTGTGGTGGCACATGCCTGTAATCCCAGCTACTTGGGAGGCTGAGGCAGGAGAATTGCTTGAAACCAGGAGGCAGAGGCTGTAGTGAGCTGAGATCACCCATTGCACTCCAGCCTAGGCAACAAGAGCGAAACTCCATCTCAAAAAAAAAAAAAGTCCTCTCTGACTGTGCTGTAGAGATGAAGAATTATTACATCTTCCATTTAGTAAGCGTGAACGTTGTTTTTCACATGGTACCACAAGGCCATCTCTTGGTCTTACAGGGAAAATGGCATTACAGGTTTTCAGGAAAACTGCTGAAGCTTTCTTTTCATCGTTACCAGAATGTTGGCAATCATTCCCCCACCGCACCCCGAATTTAATGCAAGGACGCAACAAGCACAGACACCAAAGCTGGCCACTCCGTGACTGTCACTATAGGCCGCTACTCAGCCTTCCATCCACTCAAGTGGACTCGACATGCAGGGACAGAAAAACCCTTTCCCATCTCTGCAGGACAGAGGGCAAGAGGTAGGGAAAAGAAAGATCAGAGTGTTACTGTGTCTATGTAGAAAAGGAAGACATAAACTCCATTTTGATCTGTACTAAGAAAAATTGTTTTGCCTTGAGATGCTGTTAATCTGCAACTTTAGCCCCAACCCTGTGCTCACAGAAACATGTGCTGTATGGAATCAAGGTTCAAGGGATCTAGGGCTGTGCAGCATGTGCCTTGTTAACAATATGTTTACAGGCAGTATGCTCGGTAAAAGTCATCTGCATTCTCCATTCTCGATTAACCAGGGGCACGATGCACTGCGGAAAGCCGCAGGGACCTCTGCCCAAGAAAGCCTGGGTATTGTCCAGGTATTTCCCCGCACTGAGACAGCCTGAGATATGGCCTCGTGGGAAGGGAAAGACCTGACCATCCCCCAGCCCGACACCCGTCGTCTGTGCTCAGGAGGATTCGTAAAAGAGGAAGGCCTCCGTCTCCTGCATGCCCCTGGGAACGGAATATCTCGGTGTAAAACCCGATCGTACGTACCTATGTTCGTTCTATTCTTAGATAGGAGAAAACTGCCCTGTGGCTGGAGGCGAGATACGCTGGCGGCAATGCTGCTCTGTTACTCTTTACTACACTGAGATGTTTGGGTGGGGAGAAGCATAAATCTGGCCTACGTGCACATCTAGGCACAGTACCTTCCCTTGAACTTATTTGTGACACAGATTCCTTTGCTCACGTTTTCCTGCTGACCTTCTCCCCACTATCACCCTGTCCTCCTGCCGCATTCCCCTTGCCAAGATAGTGAAAATAGTAATCAATAAATACTGAGGGAACTCAAGAGACCGGTGCTGGTGCAGGTCCTCTGTATGCTGAGTGCTGGTCCCCTGGGCCCACTGTTCTTTCTCTATACTTTGTGTCTTATTTCTTTTCTCTGTCTCTTGTCCCACCTGATGAGAAATACCCACAGGTGTGGAGGGGCTGGCCCCCTTCAAAGAGGTGGCTGGGACTACCCTCACCCACTCCCTTGAAATCAGTGTTTCCCTAAGCCTTGTGTTTACCTTACGTGCTTTGCCCGGTGTATTGGGAGCCAGTCCTCGCCGCTTGCTAGGTGTTCGAGGAGCGCTGCCATACAGCATCTCTGTCTCTGTCTGTTTTTTGTTCTTCAGTTGCTGTGTGAAAGTCAGAAGCAACAGTGATAAATCTCAGGAAGAGAGCGGGTCTGGGATGGCAACAGCAGCAGGGCCGGGAATCTAGGCCCGTGTCTCTACAGCCAGAGCTAAAGAGCTGCCGCGGGCTCCCCGTTCCACAAGCCCCGGTCCCCGGCTCCCCGTTCCACAAGCCCCGGTCCCCGGCTCCCCGTTCCACAAGCCCCGGTCCCCGGCTTCCCGTTCCACAAGCCCCGGTCCCCGGCTCCCTGTTCCACAAACCCTGGTCCCCGGCAGAGACTATGGGCTGCTCAGATTACTTTCTTCGTCTTTTCCCAATTTGCGTTCACGTTCACACTTACTCTTTCCTGCTTGGCTCTCTCTTTCTCCAATCGATGCATCTCCCATTGTTCTGCCACATACTCCATGAATTTCTGCCCATTCACCATAAATGCCTTTGAATGTTCCTGTTCCCACAATTCAATTCGTGCCTTCAACTCTTCTTCCAGCTGAGACCAGAAACAAGGACATGTTAATTACTTCAACTCTTTAGTGCAAAGCCCAAATGAAATGATTTCCCTAGAGAGTGACTCCTCCTCCCCAGAGCATCATTAGCCTCATTTCAGGTAGCTGGGCCCACATGGGTACAGGTCAGAGTGACCAGAAATCAAAGCCCGGAGACATTTCATTCACACAACACACAAGAGTGGAAAATGGCAAGAACCCAAAGTTTGACCACTAAGGTTTTGGTGCCTGAAGTTGGAGGCAGCACAGGGAAGATCAGCAATATGAAATAGGCGGTGAACATTAGGAGCAGGACTCTGAAATCAGACTTAATGGGGTTCAATCTGGAATCACCCTCTTTACTGGCTGTGAAGCAGTGAGCAAATTTACATTTTTTTTGAGACAGTCTCACTCTGTCGCCCAGGCTAGAGTGCAGTGGCACGATCTCAGCTCACTGCAACCTCCACCTCCCGGGTTCAAGCGATTCTTGTGCCTCAGCCTCCCGAGTAGCTGGGATTACAGGCATACGCCACACCTGGTTAATTTTTGTATTTTTTAGTAGAGATGGGGTTTCGTCATGTTGGCCAGGCTGGTCTCGAACTGCCTCGGCCTCCCAAAGCCCTGGGATTACAGGAGTGAGACACCACGCCCGGCCAGATTTACCTAATTTCTTAGTACCTCAGTTTCCTCGTCTGTAAAAATGGAAAGAATACCGACCTCATAAGGATGTTGTAAGGATTAGACGAATCACTAAATGAGAGCGTTTTGAAATGATATCCCTGACTTAACTCAAAAAATGGTATTATTATTATCAAAGTGGAAAATGGTAATGGAGCCCACAGGACTCTCTCTCAAAAGCTTTCCTCATGTAACTGACTGAATTGTGTTTCCCCCAAATTCAAATGTTGAAGCCTTAACCCCCAGTACCTCAGAATGTGACTGTATTTGGAGACAGCGTCTTTAAAAAGAGAATTAAGGCCAGGTATGGTGGCTCATTCCTGTAACCCTAGCATTCCTGAGACCGAGATGGGAGGAATGCTTGAGGCCAGGAGTCCAAGACCAGCCTGGTCAACACAGCGAGACCCCATCTCTTGCGGGGGGAAAAAAGAAAGAATTAAGTTAAAATGAGGTCATTAGGTGGGCCCTAATCTCATACGACTGGGAGTGTTTAGGCCACACATATTGTGGGAAAACCATGTGAACACACGGAGAAGACGACAACCATTTACAAAGCCAAGGAGAAAGGCCTCAGAAGAAACCAACTCTGCCAACGACATGTTGATCTCAGATTTACAGCTTCTAGAGTTGTGAGAAAATAAGTTGCTGTTGTCGAAACTGCCCAGTCCGTAGTGTTTTGTTTTTTTGTTTGTTTTTCTCTCTGAGATGGAGTCTCACTCTGTTGCCCAGGCTGGAGTGCAGTGGCGCGGTCTTGGCTCACTGCAACCTCTGCCTCCTGGGTTCAAGTGATTCTCCTGCCTCAGCCTCCTGAGTAGCTGGGATTACAGGTGCCCGCCACCATGCCTGGCTAATTTTTGTATTTTTAGTAGAGACCAGGCTGGTCTTGAACTCCTGACCTCATGATCAAGACCAGGCTGGTCTTGAACTCCTGACCTCATGATCAAGACCAGGCTGGTCTTGAACTCCTGACCTCATGATCAAGACCAGGCTGGTCTTGAACTCCTGACCTCGCGATATGCCTGCCTAGGCCTCCCAAAGTGCTGGGATTACAGGCGTGAGCCACTACACCTGGCCTGTAGTGCTTTATTATGGCAGTCCTAGCAAACGAATACACCTTGATATGGAGTTGCTTATACTAAATATATAACTTATTATCTCTGCCTAAGCTTTGAAGAAAATAGTTTTGGGGCTAAACAATAGAAAGAAAAAGACATACAAATAGTGAGGTATCTTTGTAACCAAGCATCAAAAACCCTTAGCAACATTATTACCTTGGGCAGCATTTTCTGGAGCTTGGCTCGTTGTTTTTCTTCTTTTAGAAGATTTCCTCCTCGGTTTGTAAATCGATTTGGATCTGAAGCTTTTCTCTGTGAAAAATACATTTTTAATTAGTGGAAAACCTGGCACCATGAGACCAATAACTTCTGCTAAGATTCTTTGTTCTCGCCAGGCGTGGTGACTCACACCTGTAATCCCAGCACTTTGGGAGGCCGAGGCGAGTGGATCACCTGAGGTCGACAGTTCCAGACCAACCTGGCCAACATGGCGAAACCCCATCTCTACTAATAATAAAAAAATTAGCGAGCATGACGGTGCGCACGTGCAGTCCCAGCTACTCAGGAGGCTGAGACAGGAGAATCACTTGAACCTGGGTGGCGTGCAGTGAGCCGAGACTGCGCCACCGTGCTCCACCCCGAGCAATGAGCGAGACGCTCAAAAAAAAAAAAAAAAAAAAAGTCAATTGTTAAAGCTTCTCATTCTTTTTAACTTTTCTTTTTGTTAACTTTTCTGTTTTTTACTGTCTTCTTTCTAGTCAAGTAATGCAGTGGGAGTGGGAGAGGAACAAATCTGTAACTGGCTGTGATCACTGACTTATAAACACCACTACACTCGGACCAGCATGTGTTTTCTTTTAGAACATATAAGGTATATCAGAACAGTAATGCAAGTATATAGCTTGTAATTATAAATTAGGTGTGTATACTCAAAAATAGGGGCACACAGGCAGAAAAATTTAGAAGATATTCTAGAAAATTAAATTGTTTCCCTTCCATACTGCTTGATTGGTGACAGCCAATAGTTACTAGAGAGGATGGTAGGTAATTCATTTCTTGTTTTCTTCTTAAATATTGGCATGTCAACAAAGGTTGCTGCCTTAGCTCCTTATTTACGTTTTTTTTTTTTTTTTTTTTTTTCTGAGACAGAGTCTCGCTCTGTCGCCCAGGCTGGAGTGCAGTGGTGCGATCTTGGCTCACTGCAAGCTCTGCCTCCCGGGTTCACGCCATTCTCCTGCCTCAGCCTCCCGAGTAGCTGGGACTACAAGTGCCCGCCACCATGCCCGGCTAATTTTTTTGTATTTTTTTAGTAGAGACGGGGTTTCACTGTGTTAGCCAAGATGGTCTCGATCTCTTGACCTCCTGATCTGCCTGCCTCGGCCTTCCAAAGTGCTGGGATTACAGGCGTGAGCCACCACACACACCTGGCCTCCTTATTTATGTTTACTCTTCTTGTTGTAACCAGAAGTAAAGAATAACTGAGGACAAAGACATCTGTTCTTAAGCAGCTGTAAGATATCCCATAGTTCTCTCCACTTCTGAGTCCTAGTTTGCTGCCTGTAAACTTGAAGGAGTTGAATTCAGATTCTCTGAAGGCCCTCTGAGCTCTAACAGGGCCAGCATGAACCCGAGAACAAGGTCTCCTTCCATCTGTGCCCTACACACCTCACTTGCTTTACCACAGTCCCTGAGCTCTAAAATGCTCTGAAGGAACCCACCATGTTGCCTATCAGAAGAAAAGGAATCAATACCCATGCAATATTCTAAGTATAGCAAAAGTTGGAATGGTAGAGAATGTTAGTTGCCTGCCCCAACATCCATTCTTCTCTCCTTCCTTAGTTTAACAGAACCAGAATTTACCTGGGGCAGCAATTCACCCAGCCTCACCAGCAGGTGACAGAGCATGTGAGCCACGGTGCTGTGAAGAGAGCCGGGAAGAGCTCTTGAAGGAGTGAGGGGCAATGCCTTCTTTGTTCCTTCCTCCACCACACTGTATGACATGTGCCATCAGGCCAGGCGTGGTGGCTCACGCCTGTGATCCCAGCACTGTGGGAGGCCGAGGTGGGCAGATCAGCTGAAGTCAGGAGTTTGAGACCAGCCTGGCCAACATGGTGAAACCCCATCTCTACTAAAAATACAAAAAATTAGCCGGGTGTGGTGGTGCATGCCTGTAATCCCAGCTACTTGGGAGGCTGAGGTAGGAGAATCACTTCAACCTGTGAGGTGGAGGTTGTGGTGAGCCAAGATCGCACCATTGCACTCCAGCCTGGGCAACAAGAGCGAAACTCCACCTCAAAAAAAAAAAAAAAAAAAAAAAAAGTGCCATCAGGGTGGGAGCTCTAGCAGCCATCCTGGCCCTGAAGATGAGGTCCACCCTTAGTGGTGGGGGAGCGCCCTGAGCCGGAGAAGCCTGGGGTCCTGCTCACTGTGCAGATCTGCCATGCCTGCCCCACACTGCCCACCTCTGAACCTCATTCATGCAAGAAATGCCTACCTTATTTAAGCCATTAATTTTGGGCTTTTCTCTTAAAAGACCCTGTAGATAAGCTTATCAAACAGAGGCGGTCAGCAGAAATTCAGAGAGACTTAATGATAAAGATGGGGTATCAAAAGCCTGGCAAAGAACAAAGCTAACTGGATTGATTCCGTACATGGCATGCTTTCTTAACAGTTAAAAACACAAAAACTAGGACAATACCTCAAACTCTAAGAAAAGCCTCCAGGTTTCTTCCCACTTCTGGACACCTTCAAAGAGTTCCTTGTGAACTTCATAGTAGTTTTTTAACCGCACAATCTCAGCATCGTGGAGCTGGAGCAGACTTTCTGTGTAGTCCTCTGCAAAATATAGGCCCAGTAGTTTAAAACAATTCCTCTAGTATTTAGTATCCAATTTTACGAATCCCCGATTCCCTAAAATGGAAATAGATTCTTTCCTTATAGTAAACTGATACAGGAAGAGGCGTGTGTGTGTGTGTAATAGATATATAGTGGTTAATAAAAACCAGCTTTGTCACAATCAGCCTGGGGGAGTAGGGCCTAAGAGACTAGGATAGAGACTAAAATAATGTTGTCAAAAATCTGCATCATCTCTTGCCTTGTCTTCGGTTTCTTTCATATTCTGCTTTTCTGTCTTGCCCAGCCAGTAGAGGGGTGGATCACAGAAAATGTGCAAAAACATCTGTTGAATTTAGTTGGGGTAGCTCCATCTTTATATTCAGTGCAGTTCAGACTAGCATTCAACTGGACTCCAGGAGTCAAGCTCCTTTTGGCTCAAACGTAGGCTCTGGCATTTACCATTATATGTCTCTGGGTTAAATGACTCAGCATTTATGTGCTTTAGTATCCTCACCTCTTGACATGAGGATGTGAAATAATATTAAGGGTTTGACACTGCACCTGGCAAAAAGTAAGCACCTGATAAAAACTTAAGCTTCACAGCTAGAGGCTACAGTGACATATTGCTTCAGAAAGCAAGAGACCAATATTTCCCAATAAAATTTGCAAATGCTTTTTCATACAGGAATGGCAATTATGCTAAATGTCTTGAAAAGGTGGCTTTATCTGTTCAGAAAAGGATATACTTCCTGTTGAATGTCTGGATGTCTTAAAAACTAGTGAGCAGGCCACATGAAGACCCCACTTTTGGCTGGGTGTGGTGGCCCAACACTTTGGGAGGCCAAGTTGGGAGGATTGTTTGAGCCTAGGAACTTGAGACTAGGCTGGGCAACAGAGTAAGACCTGTCTCCAAACAAACAAACCAAAGACCTCACTCTTGTACTAACCAGCACAGAAAGGGGCAAAAGCTTGTCTCTGCTCCTGGCTATAAAAGCACTGGTCCCAGTACTGAACCAGCTCCACTCGAATTGCCTCAATCACTTTCTTCATGTTTTGCATTTTCAGTTCTTCCAACCGATCCACTTCTAATTGCAGCTGAAAGAAAGAAACTTGTTAAGGGTGGCTGCCATAGTTTTATATTCACTCAGGTTTGCAAAAGATCCCCCCCTTTTAAGTAAAATTATAATGCAAAGCCACAAAGGTATTATAAATCAACACTTTTTTTTTTTTTTTTTTTTTTTTGAGACAGGGTCTCACTCTCTCGCCCAGACAGGAGTGCAGTGGCGCGATTCTGGCTCACTGCAACCCTCCACCTCCCAGGCTCAAGCGATTCTCCTGTCTCAGCCTCCCAAGTAGCTGGGATTACAGGCGCACGCCACTACCACCTGGCTAGTATATACAGGGTTTCGCCATGTTGTCCAGGCTGGTCTCGAACTCCTGACCTCAAATGATTCACCTGCCTCGGCCTCCCAAAGTGCTGGGATTAGAGGCATGAACCACTGAGCCTGGCCAAATCAACAACAGTCTTTATGACTAACACAGAAGTGCTAAGAGAAGACTGCTGACCCAGTACCCACTGGGTTTCTTACCGCTTTCCGGACCTTGGCCTTTGACCCAGACATAATGGTGGCCACAGCTTCTCTTTCTTCTTCAGGTATTTGCAACCTGTCCCAGAGCTCTCGGATTTGAGTACGCAGCCCCTCACACACTGCTTCATTTTGTGATTTCTGCATTTCCAGCTACAGCATAGAAAGCCAGTGTCACTCACGGCAAAGCAGCAGCACAGAGGCTAGCCCTCTAGCCTCCCGCAAAGAAATGTCTGGAGTAGAGGAGGAGGCACTTTCATGAGAGTTCAAAGTAGCATGTTTTCATGCCTCCTAAACACGAGCTGTAAGGCTGTCGGGATCTCAGACCCCAAGAATTAGCATTCAAATTTAGAACTGAAAAAAATTTTAATTAAACACTAGTCTAATTCAAATGACTAATATTATTTCATCTATAATTTCATTTTCTTGGAGCCATATAAAGGTTTTTTAACTGTTAAACAAAAATCAAGGTTGTATATCATATATTACTATCCTTAGCTTCCCTCATTCTCTTACCTTACATTGTCTCCTTATTTAAGACTGAAGAAACAGCTGTCAGTTTTGTTCAAACTGCTATATACTACGGAGATCCTAGGGCATAATTTGAGAAGACAGTACCTGCCGTAGCAACTTTTGTAGTGTTGCAATATTCTCCAAAGACAAACAAAAGGCATCTTCGTCTTCACACACCACATCTCTTTCAAAGCTTGTGTCTGGGGTGTGGTCTAATGCTTCCATACACAGTATGATCTGTCTCTTTATACTGACAAACTCCTCACGCCTAGAAGCCTTTAAAACAAAGCAATTACAAGATACCTAGAGGAAAACCAAAGTGACTTTTAGGAAGAACAAATGTAGGCAGTGTACCTTTGTTTCCCTCAAAGTTGTCACATGTTGCCTGAACTGGTTCAGCTCTTCTAAGCTGGGCACTGAGGCACTGTCAATATCATAGTGGGGCATACAAAGAATTTCGCACAGTTCTTGATCTTGCTCTTGAAGTAGCTTCAGTTCCTGTTTTCTCTCCTTTTTCTGTTTTCGCATCAATTCCACTTGGGTGCGCAAATCTTTTTCTAGTTGCAAGATGGTCGTCTCTCCTTCTTCCTGAATAAGACAACGTACCACTGTTATAAGATTCCAAGTGAATTCCTTCAGAGGAAGAGAAGGACAACATAAGAAGGCGTGGATGACAGACTTTCAGTTAAACTAACAAGTAAGTCAACTCATGGTCAACAGAATATGGCACAAAGAGGGTCTCCTAAGGAAGGTCCCAGTGAGGAAAAGTGAGTAAGTACCAGGGTACTTTTCCCCCCAATTTTAAAACTTGTGGTAGAACACATATAACATAAAATTTACCATCTTAACCATTACGTGTACAGTTCATTGGTATTAAGTACAGTCATATTGTTGTGCAATCATAACCATCACCTCCAAAACTCATTTCCTCTTGCAAAAGTGAAACTTCATACTCAAACAAATAAGTCCCCATTTTTTCCCTTCTCCAAGCCTGGCAACCACCATTCTACCTTTTGTCTCTATGATTAGACTACTCCAGGCACCAGGCACTTTTATAGAATGTGTAAATTGGCAGCCAGGCACGGTGGCTCACGCCTATAATCCCAGCACTTCGGGAGGCCAAGGTGGGCAGATCACGAGGTCAGCAGTTTGAGACCAACCTGGCCAACATGGTGAAACCCCGTCTTTACTAAAAATAGAAAAATTAGCCAGGCATGGTGGCGGACACCTGTAATCCCAGCTACTCGGGAGGCTACGGCAGGAAAATCGCTTGAACCCGGGAGGCGGAGGTTGCAGTGAGCCGAGACCACACCATTGCACTCCTGCCTGGACAACACAGCGAGACTCTGTCTCTAAATAAATAAAGAAATAACAGTGTAAATTGGCTGGAAAGCTTGCTTTGGGTTAGCTATAGGGTGGCATGCCTAGCTCATATCTAAATACTCATCCTGCTAATCCTATGAACATCGTCTCACCTTAGCAACAAAAACCCATCTGGTAGTCCCTGCTCTACTCCTAACTGGTTAACAAGAAAAAAAAAAGTGGCATTTTTTTATAGGACATATACATTTTTCTTAAATGTCCTATACATTTACACAATTTCATTTAACATTGTGAACTAGGAACATCAGGTAACTTAAGGGAGATGATCGTTGTACACCTCACTTCTCGCCCAATTTCACATGGAATGTGAAAAAAGAAAGAGAAACTATGTCCAAAATCAATTATATTTATGACATTTATGTTGACTCCAGGAAGCTCCACTTCATGTTCTCTTCTGCCTGATTGCTCTTGGCTACCAAGTATGAATTATCCTTTGCCCTTTAAAGGTGATCTCCCTCCTAAGCTAACTCCAAATAGATATCCAGGCAGGTCTTCCTGTAACAGGAAGAGGGACCTGAGAACCTTATGGGTGTACTCATTGTCTTTCCAAGCTCCACATCTGTCCTAATTTTTATGATCCTGGCACTATTTTTACTGGTTCTAAGCAGAGATTTTCAGGACCCCATCTGTTATTCATTTCATCCTTGCTGTGTCCTCACTCAAGTCCCTGACTTGCAGTGGACCACAATATAGCCACTTCTCAGCTCCATACCCAGATGGATGTCATGGCATGCTCTGAAATGGACTATGCACTCCCAGTATTCCAGCTTTTGAGACATTTCTTCTGAAGAAGCCATTTTGGCTGGTTCAGTGGTATGCAGCTTCTGGGTATGATAAAACCCACAAAGGTTGGTGTTTTCATAGTATTCCTTTTAATCATTAGTTACTTTTGTTCCTGTTTTCATTTTCTTTCAGAGAAAGAACACTGCAGCACCATCTATGCCTACCTTTTTCTCAGCGTTTATAAAAAAAAATTCATATTCCCTACAAAGCAAAACTATGGTAAGCAGCAGCTTCTTTTTGATCATCTATTAGTTGCTTCACCTCTTACCAGGGCAACTCTCTACAGAGGTGAGAATTACTCTGCTGGGCCTAATTAACTACACAGCATGTTTTCCCCACTTCTTACGTCTAGCTCCATCCCTACGAGGAAGCCTTCCATCTGCAGGCCCAAGTCAACGTTGCTTTCTAAGTCTCAGGCCCCAGACAGATCACCAGAGACCCTGTGGGCTGCCACGGACCTGAAATGGCTCAACATGTAACTCGCTGCACAGAGTGTTCAGCTCTTTCTGACAGACGGATATGCTTTTGATGAGTCTTTCCTTCAGGCTTTCCTCTTCAGCAATCATCATATCCAGGAGTTCCTACAAGAGGGAAAACAGTCCATAAGTTTGGGGCAATGGAGGAAAAAAACTCCCAACACCAATACCAAACTCCTCAAATTTCTTTTTTCTTTTTCTTTTTTTCTTTGAGATGGAGTCTCGCTCTGTTGCCCAGGCTGGAGTGCAATGGCGTGCTTTCGGCTCACTGCAACCTCTACCTTCCGGGTTCAATAGATTCTCCTGTCTCAGCCTCTTGAGTAGCTGGGATTACAGGTGCTCACCACCATGCCCGGCTAATTTTTTTATTTTTAGTAGAGACGGAGGTTCACCATGTTGATCAGGCTGGTCTTGAACTCCTGACCTCAAGCAATCCATGCGCCTCGGCCTCCCAAAGTGCTGGGATTACAGGCATGAGCCACCGCACCCAGCCTCCTCAAATTTCAAGAAGGGACTTCAAAACCAAACCAAACCAAACAGGAAGAGCCTGTGCTATCCTAATGCCGATGATCACATGTCCCTTCTGTATGCTATCTCGGGTGAGACACCAACATCCTTACCCTGGTCCAATGCAGAGACCAGTACTATTCAACCCACCTTGATATGCTTCTTTACCACCTCAGTTCTTTGTAACCGCTGGTCCTCTGGAATCCCAATTAGCTCCCATATTTCCCGAAGGTGATTTAGGGCTTTCTGCAGACATACTATGGACTCCTCCGCCAGCACCTCACTGAAAACCAAAAACTAAGGCCTGTTAGTTACATCAGTCACAGCCTCTGGACTAAAAGCACTATTTTCGAGAACTAAAAAGACTAGCTTCTCAGTGGCCTCGAGAAAAAAACAAATTGAAAACAAGCATTCAGCTTAATTCACCTTTAACCACTCCCCATCCCTTTTCCTACCAAATGCCACTAGCAATACAAGATTTCATATCATATTACATCATGGAAGCTCAACCTTCTGGACTTTCAACAATGATCTACCTATGGAAGTATAATACAGAATTATAAATACTTTTACTAAAGAAAAACCGGACAAAAGATGTTGGTAAAATAAACTAACACAAGAACTTGCTGGTGAGAAACTCCTGCAAAATGTTTGGCAATTTATTACTATTTTTTTGGTGTTTTTTTTTTGTTTTTTCTTTTTTTTTGAGACAGCATCTTGCTCTGTCGCCCAGGCTGGAGTGCAGTGGTGCAATTTTGGCTCACTGCAACCTCTACCTTTTGCGTTCAAATGATTCTCCTGACTCAGCCTCCCGAGTAGGTGGGACTATAGGCAGGTGCTACCACACCCAGCTAATTTTTGTATTTTTAGTAGAGTTGGGGTTTCGCCATGTTAGCCAGGTGGGTCTTGAATTCCCGGCCTCAAGTGATCCGCCCTCCTCGGCCTCCCAAAGTGCTAGGATTACATATGTGAGCCACTGTGCCTTGCCATTTTATTTAATTAATTTATTTATTTTTATTTTCTTTTTTTTTTTTGAGACAGAGTCTCGCTCCGTTGCCCTGGCTGGAGTGCAGTGGTGAGATCTCAGCTCACTGCAACCTCCGCCTCCCAGGTTCAAGTGATTCTCCTGCTTCAGCCTCCCAAGTAGCTCAGATTACAGGTGTGTGCCACCACACCCAGCTAATTTTTGTATTTTTACAAAAACACAAAAATCCACCCACCTCGGCCTCCCAAAGTGCTGGGATTACAGGCATGAGCCACTGCGCCCGGGCCTAGTATTCTTAAATTGCAACCGGCAGCTCAAAGAATGGCTAAAGTTAAAAAGCCATTGAGATGGGGTTTCACTACGTTGGCCACGCTGGTCTCGAACTCCTGACCTCAAGTGATCCACCTGCCTCGGCCTCCCAAATTGCTGGGATTACAGGCGTGAGCTACCATGCCTGGCCTATTCTTCTTAAATTACAACTAGCAGCTCAAAGAATGGCTAAAGTTAAAAAGACAGCATTAAGTGTTGGTGAGTATATAGAAAAGTGAGAACTTTCATATGCTGCTGGCATGGTGTAAATTGGTACAACTATTTTAAAAACTGTTGGCAGTCTATCTACTAAAGCTGAACCCAGCAGTTCTACCTCTACATACATACCTAGCAGAAATGAACACATACGTTCACCAAAGACATATATGAGAATGGTTAGAGAAGCACTACTCATAATAGCAGGGAAACAGAAACAGCCTAGATGTCTATCAACAGAATGAATAGTACATTCCTACAATGCACTAATGCAGCAATGAAAATGAACAAACTGGCTGGGTGCAGTGGCTCACACCTGTAATTCCAGGACTCTGGGAGGCCGAGGGGAGCAGATCACTTGAGGTCAGGAGACCAGCCTGGCCAACATGGGGAAACCCTGTCTCTACTAAAAACACAAAAAATTAGCTGGGTGTGGTGGTGCGCCTGTAATCCCAGCTACTGGGGCGGCTGAGGCAGGAGAATCGCTTGAACCCGGGAGGCAGGGTTTGCAGTGAGCCAAGGTTGCAGTGAGCCAAGATTGTACCACTGTACTCCAGCTTGGGCGACAGAGCGAAACTGTCAAAAAAGAAAATGAACACACTACACATGATATGGATAAAGCTCAAATTATTATATTTCTATTTTATTTATTTATTTATTTTACTTTTTTGGGGTGATGA